>NC_000008.11:138130844-138432922 GCF_000001405.40 Homo sapiens
GAAAGTGACCAGAGGACTCAGTGAACCCATATGCATTATGACCAGGATATAACAAGCATTTAGAAAGGACTCACTGAGAAACCCTAAATCCATTGTGTGGAACTCTGCCTTTGCAAGACATTCAACTCTCCCTCAACGACCCTCTCTTTCTTCAAAAGAATACCACATGTCTACACTCCTGCAAAGCTGCCCATCTGGACTCATTCCCATGGTCTGCTTTTATTTTTCAAAGTCACATTGTTAACATAAGAGGATCTAAAATTCTCAAATGAGCTTAGATTTACTTGGTTTTGTTACCATGGCATCAGTGACCTAGAGTCATGGTCTAGGTATTGAGAACCCTGGTCCTAGATGCGTTTCCACACTTCAGAAGGGATTTTTGCAGAAGCAGGAGCTTTCATCTCCAAAAGATTAGGCTCCTGTCTTACTTATCCCTACTGTCCAGGTTCATTCATCTCTTCCATACAACGAAATGATTCTTTAGGCTTACTTTAGCCCATACAACATACTCAGTCTTTGAGACCTGACTATTAAACATCCTGGTAATTTTCAAAACTCCCCTTTGAGTCACTTACCAATAACAGCTTATGTTGAGTCTTCAGTCTGGTTGTTCTCCTCCTATCTGATCTCACTTTTGTCCCTGTCGTCTATTGGTTTTTATCAACGCAGTGACCTTTCCTAGCCCTTTATTTTCCTAAGGCAAGAAGACATTTCTATTGAAAGATAGCCAGCACCCTTCTTAGAGCTCCCCTGAGGTTTTAATCCAGCACTCCTCCATTTAGATGTTTTCCTCCTTCCATGGAGAGGAGAAGCAGCTGGCCACTTTAATGGATTTAATTTTTTGCAATTGCATCAAATGCTAACATAGCATGTCTTTGGAAGTGTATCAGCAGGAGCTTCACACGTGTGTGCATTCATCTCAGTGCCCCCTTCTGCTAGGTTAGTCTCACTCAGTGTTCCCTACTACAGACAAAGATGTAAGCAATCACTAAAATAATTTGTGGATCAGGGCTCTGCATAGAAGAATTCTGGGGAAGTAGGTGGAGCAACTATTCATAGTTCAGTATGTCCCTAGAGTCATGTTTCTTTGTAACAAACTTGTATTTACCAATAGTGTCACCTTTATCCCTCTTTACCTTAAGTCACCCTGCTCACTGCTGTTATGAAATAGAACTGGGATTTGTAACACATTCCTTGCTCCCTTGTTTAGAAAACATGAGGAGAGAATATGAATATGGGCATCACATTTTCTTGAACAACTGACACATTTGAATCTATTGAGGATTCTATTTACACAAATATGTTCCACTGCTGCACAGAGATTAACCTGAGTTCTGAAATGCTTGTGTGCACTTAATCAGAAATGATAAAGCTATAAGCTAGTAACATATTCGGCAAGTCTAGTTAAATTGGAGTAATCTCTCAGTAAGCCAGTAGTGGCTAGCAAGGGGAGCTCACCAACTCCCAAGTATTCTGTTTATTCTCTCATATTTTTCCTAGAAAACATCTTGAATGACACTCCAGGTAACTATACAAATTCAAGCAAAGTTTGTTGTCATTTAGTCTATTTGCTCAGCTTTCTCGAATCTCCAAAACAAAAGCACCTCTCATGTCAGGTTCCACCCGAGCCTCCGTCCCCCAATGCTGTTGAAGCTTCATTCTGAAATGGTGAGGTCTGTAAAAGCAGGTCTCAGCTAAAGCTCTCCACCGATCGTAAGCATTACCAAAGACCTGCTCCCTCAAAGCCACTACTTGAAGTAGTTGAGTCCTGCCACCAAGAAAAACTTCTCCAGGAAGAGTTCTGAATCCAGCACAGCGATGTGAGCGGCTCGGCCGATCAGGGTGTTGGCAGTGTTGGGCAGGGCGTGGAACACGTTGTGTCGGATTAAAGTGCAGTCCTTGGCTTCAACCAGAGGGCCCAGGAGGTTGTTGATCATTTCTGCATAAACTGGCCCTGTAAAGTGGGGAAGAAGGACATGAAGCTGGTGCAGAAATTAGCAGTGGAATCTAGAGAACATCACTAGATGTGTGTCGAAATTCTGTTCCTGGGCAGACCTGTTATACAGCAGTTTCCAACCTCTTCCTAATGTTAGTGAAATTAATATGAAATAAAATCAAAGTTCTCTTTTTCTAGTCAGATGACAATAGCCAGAAGTCAGAAGGGGATTCCTAATAGCGGCTTTATGAACCCATGCACCGGAAGTTATGATAGCAGTGTTCGTGTTTCTCAATAATAGCTGTACCTCCCAGCAGGGTAGCAGAGAAGGAGGCCAACACCAGAGAGGACCCTCAGAGTTTCAAGTTCTATTTCAGGGGATCTTGGGGGTTGGAAACACAGCTCAATAGAGAATTGAAAGCAGACATTTTCTGATGTCATGCATAATGGAAGCCATGTGGCATTTCACCCGACTCCTCTGATTCCAAAGAAGGAGAATGCAGTTTTCTTTATGTTGGTTTGTTTTGTTTTTACAATTGTTAGTCTGAATTGACTGTTTCCACCTGAAAGTGACACAGTTGCAATTTTGCTTCAGGCCATGGAGGTCTTGGAGCCATGCAGTGCAATTGAATTGCTGAACAATAGATAGATTTGCACACCTGGATCTACGATTCATATCTCCCAGCCCTGTGTTCTTCTTTTCTGAAAAACTGTTTATGACAACTTTTGTATCATTGACAGACACTTTCTGGAATGATCCTGAGAGCTGGGATATTTTACTTTTGACCAACTGGGGAGACAGTAATTGGAAGTTGTAAGTCAGGTGAGCTTCTGGGTACCCACTCCAAACAACCGGGTCTGTTTTACAAAGCCAGTAGAGCAGTCACTTTGGATGATGAAAGAGAGCTTATTCTGAGTTTAACAGTCCACAGCCTCACTCTGGACACTCTCTCATGCCACGTGAAGGAACTCAACACCGTTTTCCTTTTCCCTCCAGTTATCAGCAGGGGAGAGTACTTAGAGGTCTGCTTTCCCAGACTGGGATGGACAGCTGGACCCCCCCATCACGCATGGGGTATGTATTTGGGGGTGTTTCTTTTCCCCCCCTTCTTAGGGTCTTGGTAGGAGCTTTGACGTAAAGGGAATTGTAACGTGAAATTGAAATAATTAGGGATTTCGTTGTAGCCATGTCAATTCAGCTAAAAAGAATTTGGGGTTAAAACAAATGGTATGGTCATTCCCAAGAGCCCATTAATGTCTTAGAGTAGCGGTCATTACAACAGGCAATAATATGATGTGAGGTTATGCCACAGTAATTTTATGTATGAAATAGTCCTTCCAAGGGAAAAGGGAGGTCAGCCAAATTCAGCATCAGAGGAATAGTTAAGTAAACCATGCTTTGTGGGCTAAACAATTCTGTGCTCCTTTAAAATGATGTTTATGAACATTACGTAATAATATTTTTTAAATGATGTATGTGAATATTATGTAATAACAAGAATAATGAATAAATGTTGCCAATAAATGGAAATAGAAGCATATATTGTTACACAAATACCATAATTTGTTTAAATTGTATATGCAATAAAGGTCAGAAGGTCATTTATTTAAAGAAAAAAGTCACTCAAAATGTAGTGATTACTCAACCAGATCATTTTCTGCTGAGACCTTGATTGGTTTCATAAGCCCTGGAGGCAATCACTGGTATATTTTTTAACATTTATAGCAAACTCTTATATGTTTTCTCAAATACAGCACTGTTTTTAAATTGATGGACTTTTGGGATAGGGGCAAATTATCTACATGACAATGTAGAGAATAAATTGGAAGGTTATGTGAAGTCAGAGAGGTTGAGAGGTATTTTATTTCAGAATTTTTGAAAAATAAAAATATTGGTACTTCTTCCAGAAAAAAAAAAGTGATAATCATGTATAAACTAAACTTCATATCAAGTCTCCCAATCTGTTTAATTCACCAATTAAGCCACACTTCTTTGATGTCCGTGTAAAAATGTAACAGAAAATATAAGTTTAACAAAAGAGAGGGCGATTTTTTCTTAAGATGACTAACAGGAAGATTAATCAATTTAAGTCATATATTAATATCCTTTGAAGATACACTCCCTTTTCCTTAAATGGCCATTGTGAATATCAAATAAGATAAGCAAAGCGCATGAATTGTGCCCGGCCCATAATAAATACAATTTGCTATGCTAGAGCAGGAGTTGTCAGACTTTCTCTGTAAATATTTAAGGCTTTCCAGGACGCGCAGTGTAACTACTCAACATAATTCTGAATTCTAGCGTGAAAGCAGCCATATACAATATGTAAATGATGGGTGTGGCTATGTTTCAATAAAACTTTATTTACAAAATGAGAGATGGGTTGAATTTGGCTTGTGGACCATAGTTGTTGAACTCTGTTCTTAAGGCTTTACCAAGGTTGAAATGTCAACAAAAATATTTCTCTATGTCAGGGAGACAAGAAAGTAGGCAAGGAAAATTAGCAAATCCCTGCACAAAGAAACAGTTTGGCTGTCTATTGACCACAGCTATGTTTAGTCAAGTCTGAACTGAAAACCAGATCATTGACTCTTTATTTATTGTCACAGGTCTTAGCATATAATGATGTCCCATGGGCAATTAGAAAATATTTAAAAATGGATTAAAAATATACATAAAAAAGCATCAATATTTAAAAATTCAGGCTGAAAAATTATAAGCAAATATCTTTAAATTAATATTTAATCTGAGAGACAGTAGAGTGAGATAGGCAGGCACGAATATACTCTAACAGTACACGTGTTGCTGGTATCAATATTTTAGAAGGGAATTTGGCAAAAAACTTTAAGAGTAGTAACTCATTAACATTTTCCTCCAATAATACCACTACTAGAAATCGATTTTAATGAAATACCATAGATGTATTAAAAGTTTACACATGCAAAGTCTTTCATCACATAATAACTAAAAAGGAAACCTTCCAGAAGCAAGCTCTATGTGCAGTAATTGAGAAGTTGTTAAATTATGGTATATGCATATAGTCTATAATTATTAAAATGTGTTTGTATTTATGATATTTTATTAACATGGACAAATAACTATATTACTCTAAATCAAATCATGACACAAAATTATAACATTTATCATGAACACACATGAAGAGACAGACTAGAAGAACACGAAAAGTAGGTAGTGATAGAGGTGGAGTTAGAAAGGATCATAAATTATGTAAATGAGTTTGACTTTTTCAAATATTCTATAATGTTTTTAATCAGAAAAAAAGAATCATTTTAGAATATGCCCTGTGTTACTTTTCATTACATATACTAGATGGTATAAAACACAATGCTATTTTATGTATTAAAACTAATTTTTAAAAATTTTTTCATCAAAATTCCTGTTGGATTTTCTAGATACCAGGGAAAATTTGGAATAGACCCAATTATATATTAGCACCAAATCTTTGGACCTTTGGTACACTATTTTTTGATAGTACCTTAAAATATAACAAAACTACTATTTACTTAAAAAATAATCAATATGCCTGACATAGAAATATACAAATTAGATTGGATTCTGGAAGAGAAAGGGGACATTAGTGGACACTGACATAATTTAGATAAGGTCTAGAAATTAGATAATAATATTGAATCAGTATTAATTTTCTGATTTTGATAATGGTACAATGGTTATGTAAGATGCTAATATTGGGCATCAGAGTGAAACGTATGCAGGAATTTTTTGTACTGTTGTTGCAACATTTTTTGAGTATAAAATTGTTTCAAAATTAAAAGCTAAAAACATGTTTTTAAAAAAAAACAATTAAACAAATTAACCAAAGGAAACCACAAATGCCAGCCCACATCCATCTTGATTGTCTGGAAAATTCCTACCTATCCTTTAAAACCTAACTCATTGTCATCTCCAGGGATCCTCGTCTGACTCTGTCCTATGTCCTGTTCCACTTCTGGGCTGCCTTAATGCCTTAGGCATTATTTTATTTTTTGACTTATCACATTTTACTCTCATTGCTATTACTTGTCGAGGCTCCAACTAGACAATGTGCCCCTTGAGGGCAGGGCCTGTCTCATTGAATTATACATCCCAGTCATCAATTTCAGTGGCTGGCACACAATAGGACTGAACAGAAGTTTCATAATCTAATAAACATGTGACTGTTTATTACACAAAGGAAGGATCTGGCACAGTAACATCGAGATGAGCTATGTTTGTCCTATCACTAAGCTAAGATAAATGCAGCACTAAACCTATAGCCCAGGTGTTCCCAATAGGCAGTCAATTCCATGAATTTACTTTTGCTTTTCAAATTAGAAAGTCCCTGAGCAAAAATTAAATGTAGCTTACCTGTGTGTCTGTCTTTGAGGGCAGTTTTACACATTTCAATCCTGGCTGAATGAAATGGCACATAACGGTCTTGGGGAGAAGCAACCAGCACGACGTTTTTAAAATACTGCAGCCCTGTAAAAATTAGCCAGATGAGTGCTTTTTACCCAGGTAGTTTCAACTTCAACACCCTCTGGAAATTTGCACAAATTTCCAGACTTGTCCTATAGAGAGAAAAAATGTTGACACACCACACACTAGTGTCATCACACAAGGACATTCTGTCCTGAGGTTTAACAATGCACAGCAGATGGCATAGAGGTATCGCGGGGGCCTATGGGAGGTTGAGAAAAGAAGTCACTAAGCAGGGGCTTTGCGTTTGTGAGGGGAGATGAAGCCTGCTCTCATCAGCCATGAAAGCTAAGGAGACACACAGAAAGCTACTCTGGACACAGAGAAATAAGCAACTAGAATGGGACCAAAAAAGCCTTTTGGGGATAGAAATATTAAGGGGTTCATAAGGAAAAGTCAGTCTGACTATCTTGTTCTTCCTCCTCAACTCCAGCACCTCTCCTAATTCCAGCCTTCACCACGTCCCATGCTTTAGGAAAACAGCCTCAGAACTCACCTCTCTGCAGCCAGTCTTGCCTTCCTGCAATCTGTCCCCACAATGCAGACAGAGGGACCCTTCAAATTAAACATCACAGTGTATCCCTGCAGGCCTCAGAGCCCATCGTGAACTTCCTGAGCACTGCAGACTACCCGGACACTCCATCTGTACTGAGACTGTCCTTCTCATTCCCCAGATCCTGCTGGGTGGGCGGCTGTCAGCTCTTAGCTATGTGTGCCCTACTGAAGTGTGGGTCCCCTCATCAGACATCACACATTGGGGGCAGCCTACTTCAACAGCTGGCCAATACATGGGCGAGGAAGACAAAGGTGTAATGGTCAGCCCCTCCCCTTCCTTCAGGACAGCTCTCCAGGGCCACCCCAGCTCCTGCACCCCTGATGGACTCTACAGTGATCACACTGCAGTCCCACCTTCTTCTGCCAAGCCCTGCCTCCCTCCTCCTCCTCCACAGGAGATAGCTCTAAGAGCTCAACTCAACACACAGAGGCAGAAAGTAGGAAAGGAACTCAGCCAGGCTCACAGATGAGCCCGTGGCTACACCAGATTCACAGGCACAGAGGGATCAGCAGAGTCAGTGTTTACAGGACGGTGGAAGATTGTGACCAAGAACAGACCCTGGGCCAGGCCAGCTTGTGTGGTGGGACTGAGCAGGGCAATCAGTCAGCTGCTCCACTCGCCGACTGGACATGGGGACCACTCGGCAATGATCACCATTACTGCTGTCCTCTGTGGACATTCCCATGTAGCAGGTAGGGTCTTCAACACCTCTATGCACTTCCACATGACAGAGAGAGGGTGCAGGTATCATAGCAGGCCTGCCTGACAATGACCCCCGTCTCCCACTGCACAGTCAACATCAGTGGAAAATGTTGCATCTGCCTTTTTTGTAGATGGGCCTGTACCTGGGTGAAGCTGGCACACAGATCTTAGGCCTATGCAATGAGAACATTGAAAAACTGGCACAAAGTGGAAGCTACAGCTTCTGGCTATTGAAATGATCTTACACACACCTTGGCTCAATCTCTCACGTGCCATATGGGCAATGGGCAAGAGGAGCTGAGTTCCTGGTAGCTGTTGGCCTCCCAATGAGCCAAAGAGGCTTTGAGTGCTGGGCCTCCTGACTAGGCCCTTCTGTGAGTGAATCAATGTAGCATTATATCTCATTTGTGTCTCAGGAGTTGAATCCCAAGCTCAAACTCATAACTGCAGCTGTGGGGGAAACCACTGACCTGTTTTTTGGCTTAGTTGGTAGAGGAAACATTTGCGCAAATCAGCATTATCCCTGAAGGTCAGCTGCAGTAGAGACCCGGATTTCTTCAGTTTCTGCATGAGCCATAAGCCTAGGAAGACAAAAACAAAATAAAAATCAAAAACACAAAACAAAACAAAAACTAACTGGGATGGAATTTTGGTGAGATGAACGTTAAACTGAATTTTAGTTAACTTGAAAATAAGAGAGAAGTAGGCATACTAGCAAATAGTTGGGAAGTTAGAGGTAAATTTGTCCTCTCACGTACTGGTGGAAAGGACTTAAATCATCCTGCAAAAATGATGACAGGACAACAGCCTTCGGAGTAAGAAACTACCCACACTCTTCAATCCAGTCAATCTCCTTCCGAAAAAGAAGCCTAGGGTAATAATTTTCAATGCGAAAAGAATATAAAATGATCCTTACAGATACATTTAGGATACAGTAAAGCTAAAATAAATGTCTCACTTCACAACTCATCTGTTGGCTGGGCATGGTGGCTCATGCCTGTAATCCCAGCACTTTGGCAGACCGAGGCGGGTGGATCACCTGAGGTCAGGAGTTCGAGACCAGCCTGGATAAAATGGTGAAATCCCGACTCTATTAAAAAATTAGCCAGGCATGGTGGCAGGCACCTGTAATCCCAGCTACTTGGGAGGCTGAGGCAGAAGAATTGCTTGAACCTGGGAGGCAGAGCTTGCAGTGAGTCGAGATTGCACCATTGCATTCCAGCCTGGGCGACAAAAGCAAGACTCTCTCTCAAAAAACAACAACAACAACAAAAATCTCATGCGTTTAGCTAAGCTTAGGCAAACACTAACATTGATGAGTGTAAGGATTACATAACCACAACAAGCAAATTAATCTGATAGAAACACAAGGAAATAAGCAAGCTATGGTATGTACATATATTACACTGACTGCTACGTCAATGTGTGTGCACAAAGATAAGTAGAATGAAATATATAAAATTACTCTGGATATGCTAGATTGGAGATATTATTGGTAAAGTCTGTCTTTTTAAAAAATATTTTATGATGCTGCAAGATTCCTTTATAACTGTGGGGGAAAAATGTAGTTTAACAAATTTGTTTCTGTCCAAAGAATGGCTTCCTTGGTTTGGGAGGAAAGACAGAGTGCAGAGGAAAGGACTTCCATTTGTTATGTGCCATTGTGTCGGATAACTCATGTTCACAAGTATGCCATAAAATAACTTAAAAGCAAACTAACTAAACTGACCAGGCCATGAGGAAACAACGTTAGTGTGGGAGAGGACAGGGGACAGTGGCAGAGGCCTGGAAGATTGCAGGGACAAGGAAGCTTATCAGGGGTGACCCTAATGCCACATAATGGGTTTGAACAATCAGGGACTACTGAGGTAGTTGTTAAGAACATGATTTAATAAACGATTTGTTATTACATATAAAACTCAATGCCCTCCTTGGGCTTCCATACACCAAACCATGTCACCTCCTCAGTAAAATCTCATGAGTAGTATCTACAAGGTCTACAGGGTAAGTCTAACATATTCTGGAGTCAGTCGAGGTCCTTCTTTGTCTGACTCTTGCTGATATATTTAACCTCCCATAGATGTTAGTCAACCTTATTTCCTTCCCCTGTGTAATCTTCAACAATTCTATGATACACATATGCACATATGCACCTACACACCATATATATGTATACATACTTACATTGTGTACATGCTTGTACACATACATATATGTATACATACATATACACAAACACAGATACACACACACATAACCTCCATTTTACAAACAGGAAGACTGAGGAGCACAGAGATTAAATGTCTAGGCCACAGTCTCCCTCAAGTGTCCTGGTCAGGACTTAACCACAGGTTTGTCATGCAGGTGGCCTGATTCAGAGTCCCTGTTCTCTTCATCACAACACCGTGTCTTGTCAGTCTTTTCCAACCAGGACCCCAGAGACATTGCCTTTTTTTCACAGAAATTTGAAGGCAGAAATGATCCTGGAAAACATCTAGTGTCACCTCACTCAGCCCCCAGACACAAGGGCCACACCTCTAAGGCCAGGACTCCTCCCTCCATGCCATGCTTGGAAAAGACTGCACAGTCACAGGGTTCCAAGTGGAAGTACCTGTGCCCGGTTTCACGCCCCAGAGGCCCCAGATTAATTCTGAGGAATGACGAGTCCTAGAAGAATCTTACCTGTACTAACCAGGGTGCTGTTGTTGTACAGGGTTCCCAGGTGAGGCCCAGAGAGTGACAGGAACGTGTGGAGTTTGTTGAGGTAATACCGGAACCGGGGCCGTGTGAGGACCGATCGGATGATGATGTTGCCAAGAGAATGGCCAATGAAGCTGTGGAGAAACAGAAGGGGTACCCATGAGTGTGACGGTGAATGCTGCTGCCCAAGAGTGCAGTGCTGGAAGCATCAGGGGCCATTGTTCTCCACCTCCCACTGAATGTAGGGGAACTGGCAAAGAGAACAGGGACTGCCAACTCAACCTCATCAGGTTTCAAAACACTGGCCATGAGAAGCCTGAGATGGGGTCTTTGTGAATGGGAGCTTTGTGCCCAGTCAGGGGAGAAGTGTGGGCATTTCAGCCAGCTTCATGCTGCTAGAGCAGCCTGCTTTAATTCCACCTGGGGGAAGGGAAGGTCCTTCCTGAAATGCACCTCTGAGCATTGAAATCTCCTGGTCATTCACAGGATCAAGTCCCAAGTCCTTATCCTGCTTGGGAGGCCATTCATATACGGATGGCCTCACAATGCCATTCATCCTCTCCTTCACCCGCTGTGTATATATTGAACCACCTGCTCACAGCCCATGCTGTTAGACCCCCTCCTGCAGGCTCTGCTCCAGCCATACTGCTACTCACAGGCCCACGTGTTCAATGAATCATTATTCTCAAGTTAAATACTTATTTATTGAGAGCCTATTATATGAGAGGCTATACCTCCCCACCTCTACTCATGATGAGCATAAAACCATCCAAGAAAAGAAATCAGTGTCACCCTATGAAACTGCCTCACCTAGCTTTTCTTTTATTCTTTTTTTTAAAAATCTAACCTCTATAGGCTTCATTTGTGGAATAAAGAAGTAATATTTTGTATATGAAGACTAAATGGGATAATGTATATCAAGGGATTAGCACTATGTCTACATATTCAATTGCATGAAAAATGCAAGCTGCTTACTAGCACTGTCGTCACTGAAACATTTGGTACAGTGTAAGAATAAAAGTAGTGCTGATTGAAACTCTCTCTTTGGGGTGGGCAACTCATTCTGCTTCTTCTTTTTTTTTTTTTTTTTTTTTTTTTTTTTTGAGATGGAGTCTCACTCTGTCGCCCAGGCTGGAGTGCAGTGGCGCAATAATCTCGGCTCACTGCAAGCTCTGCCTCCCAGGTTCACGCCATTCTCCTGCGTCAGCCTCCTGAGTAGCTGGGACTGCAGGTGCCCGCCACCACTCCCAGCTAATATTTTTGTGTTTTTAGTAGAGATGGGGTTTCCCTGTGTTAGCCAGGATGGTCTCGATCTCCTGACCTCGTGATCCGCCCGCCTCAGCCTCCCAAAGTGCTGGGATTACAGGTGTGAGCCACCGCGCCCGGCCTTTTTCAAACATCATCTCAGTGCTAGTTCCTCTTAATAGATAAGAAAACAGAGGTTTAGAGGTTTAGAAACCTTGCAAAAGGTTATATATCTGGTACATGGCAAGAAACAAGATTCCAACTTGTGAGTGTTAGAACAAGAATTCAAACCTAGGAATTTTTGTTTTAAGTCCAAGACTCTTTCTACAGAACTACAAAATTTTTATTCTCCCTGACACAAACTATGGCAGAGATGAATGTGTACGCCAGACCTGGTACTTACTTCTGCTTTAAAAGTAATTTATTAAAAGTCACAAGTTAGCTTAGCTCAGTGGTATACAGAAGGCATCATATTATTGCTTTTATACAGCAAACACTCAAAAATGTCCCCCCTCTTCCCCCAGCATTAACTACCTGTGGTTTCCTTTTACCTAATTCGGGATATGGAGAGGTTGTACAACTGAATGTGTTGAATGATTTCATCCAATAACCGATCCGTCATAGTATCAAAATCTGCAAATGTGTCCATCTGGAAGAAGAGAGAGGAACAGGTGTTGGGTATGGTTGTGGCGGGGGCTGGGCTTTGTGCACAGCCTGTGTTCTTCCACTAAACACTGTGGCGCCTACTGGGGATGTGCCTACCTCTGATGTTACGGCTACAGGATAAGATATGACTTCAGGACAAAAGGCCCACAGACTGGGGCTCTAAGAAAGAAACATGGAGATGCTCAGGAACGCTCAGCTGGGAGGGTGGCTGACACTGAAGTAGCAAGCTTGTGGTGCCGACTGCCACACCACGTGCCTGGCGTGTCAGCGTGACACTGGGATTGCTGCCCCTGCTTCACAGAGGAGGAAATAGACTCTGGGAGGGGAGGCCGCCTATTCACCTCACATGACCCAGCGTTCACACCAAGACAGGCCTGAATCCAAAGGCCCTGCCCTTTCTGTGGCATAGCCTTTAGAGTATGCAGTCAGCTTTGGGAAGGATCGTAAAGTCACCCACGTCTTAGGATGGATGGTTGAAGGATCCAGGAGATCAAAGGAAGAGGAGGAATGCCACACATGTCCTTGAATATTTGAAGGGCAGCAACAAGGAAGATATATTAGATTGGTTTCTATAACCTCAAGGACTAACTTTTAGAAACATGAATTAGAGTCAAAGAGAAATAGATTTGGGGCCAATATCCAAAAATGTTTGAAAAGTTCCTCATATGTGGAGCTGTCTATAACACCATGGGCTGCCAAGAGCTAGGAAAAGTGAATAGGATGTCTCACAAATGTCTATCCTGTGAAGAAAGGAGTACGTGTTGGAGGATAGGAGTGGTGAAGAGAAGACCTTTACGAGTCTCTGTCACCTGCCATCCAATGAGCTTTGAGGCGCGAGAGAATAAAGCATACTGCTAAGACTTCCTGGAACAAGAGAGAACCATAAGCTCTTCTGCTTATGGGATCTGTGCCCTGGACCTGTTGCTTCCCATCTAAACCTCAGTCTCCTTATTTATTACAGGGGGATAGTGTCACCACCTCCTTAGTGCCATGTTAAAAATTAGGTAAAATAGGCCAGGCGCAGTGGCCCATGCCTGTAAACACAGCACTTTGGGAGGCCAAAGCAGGCAGATCACGAAGTCAGGAGACCAAGATCATCCTGGCTAACATGGTGAAGCCCCATCTCTACTAAAACTACAAAAAATTAGCCGGGCGTGATGGCACGCACCTGTAGTTCAGGAGGCTGAGGCAGGAGAATCGCCTGAACCCAGGAGGTGGAGGTCGCAGTGAGCTGAGATCGCACCATTGCACTCCAGCCTGGGTGACAGAGCGAGACTCCATTTCAAAAACAAACAAAAATAGGTAAAATATACCTAATAGAGATGCTGCTTTTTTTTCTCTAACTTTTCAGAGCCTATTTCCTCATCTATAAAATGTTAATTCAACATATACATTATTTAAACAAGTGGCTATAATTATGAGGCCTGAGTTGACCATGATGAGCTATGCTTTGGAAATCACAGTAGGTTTAAAAAGTAATATCAGGAACTCCCCAGCCAAGGCGTTTAAATCTATATTAACATATACTGCAAGTGGACCTGCTGATGAGACAACTTTCAAAAAGTAACAACAATGAGTGCATAATCAGTACTGAGTGGCCAACTCCTGCAATTAAGTGAATTGTGTAAAGGTCCAGCTCTAAAGACCTGAGGTTTCCAGGTTGAACCCAGCAGCCATGAAGCCGCATCAGAGAGTTGCTGGATGTGCACACCCGGAAGGATTACTTCCTCACCAGATCTCTCTTGCTAACAATTCTTATCTTCCCTGAAAAGAAAACCTCACTAGCACAAATCACAAACACAAAGTGAGCAAGTGCTGCTCACTCACTTCCCTGCTCCCTCCTCTGACTGGCCTGGTTATCCTATTTTATTTTAGTTTAGTTTAGTTTAGTTTTATTTTATTTTTTGAGACAGGGTCTTGCTCTTTCACCCAGGCTGGAGTGCAGTGGTGCAATCACAGTTCACTGCAACCTTGACCTCCTTGGGCTCATGTGATCCTCCCACCTCAGCCTCCCAAGTAGCTGGGAATACAGGCACACACCATCACACCAAGCTAATTTTTGTATTTTTTGGAGAGAAAGGGTCTCACTTTGTTGCCCAGGCTGTTTTTGAACTCCTAGGCTCAAGCGATCTCACTGCTTTGGCTTCCCAAAATGCTGGGATTATAGGTGCGAGCCACCGCGCCCAGCCATCCTCTCTGAATACTGCATCAGATTTGTTCACGTATTAAAGTTGGGTGCACACAGGAATTACCTTCCTGGAGATCATATATAGTATCCTCCTCTCCAGCACAGCCTGACATGGACCCTGCCTAACTCCCAGAAGCTGTGTTCCCTGTCCTGTGAGGAGATGGTGGTATCAATGTGTGATAGAACTGCCATGAAGATAAAATGGGGAAACAGGTACGGAGTACTCAGATGCTCCAAAAAGTCATTCTCTTCTCTCTCCGTCAACATCTATACCTCTGTGTACTGCATGGTGCACAACTTTGTATAGAGCAGGTGCCCAAGTAAAGGCAGCAGAACTGAGCGCCAACAGTTAGGAAGGGAGTCATTATCCAAATAATTGATGCTCTCACTTGCCACCCACCCTAATGCCCTGTGAGGGCAAAGGCTCCCGTCAACCGATACACATGTTCTCATTTCTTACCGTTTCCTCTCCCTCCCGAAATAAAACAGTCTCTTCTTTCCAACCCATCCAAATGCCTGGCCAGCATCTCTTTTCAAGGTCTCCTCCTATCTGTGTGTGTCCATAAATTATCATGGTGCATTTAGGAGGCTCATATAAGCATGCATCCAGGGTTCTTCCAGTTCTGATATTTGTATCATCATACCTGATTCTTTTCAGACATTAGGAAGTCCAGTTTTCCTCCAGGGAGCCCCAGTTCTATGAAAGTCTTTACCAGCCGGAGGTCTGCACTGTTCCCTAAAAATGACAGATAACCCCCATCCCAGTCCCGTAGTTAGTCATATAAAAGGTTGACACACGAGGAATTTCTTTCTCTCTCCCTCTTTCCCCATTTCTACTGGGTTTTGTCACTTTTGGTTAAGTAGATAATATAAACAACTAAAACAGCTAGAAACCCCGGCTCTCCTGTTACCCCTTGGCCCCCCACACTCAGAGTCTGGTTCTTTCTAGCGGTCCCACCTCGATAGAGTTATCCCTGATCTGTGAGCATGTGGCTTGTGAACACTCTGCATACAGGAACAGTGGGAGATACACCACCTCCCCTTCTTCCACAGCAAATTCCATTTTGCAAGCAGTTCTTTCGAATGGCTGATGGGGCACAATGCGACTCATACGAGCCCCATCTTCAGTTACTTACTTAAAAGGAAGACTATCTAGTGCTGCCTTTTCTAGGTAATCTGCAAGCCTCCCTACCTCCCAACTGGCCAATCATGGCACAGTTATCTAAATAGAATAGGACTGTCTCTTGGGAACAAGAGACATGGCAGAGCAAGCTCTACGGAGGCACAGCAGTGGCCATCGGGGCAGAGGAATGAAAGGTTAAGAATGCAAGGTTATCAAGGCACAAAGAATACAGGAAATGCATTCCCAAAATAAAAGTCATGTGAAAAAAAAATGGATTTACTACGACAGAATAAGGTTTATATGAAGTATAGTGAGGCATAAATTTAATGCTGGCCGTAGGGGTTCAATTGTGTCTTAATAAATTTTTGTCCTATTTCTTAAAAGTTCCCTGTACAGTTGAAAGTTAGAAGCTGGGTATTTGGATATATAAATTACCTACTTTGTCATGTAAATATACCCCACAGGTCATAGTTCCAAAATAGTTTGTTAACTGTGAGTGACAAATATCATTCTTTATGAAACTACCCAATGATTCAAAGGAGGGTGAAAGTGCCACACGGAATTGGGGGAAGTCCAGGTGTTTGGAGTTATCTCTAATGCTTAAGGATGACTCAGATATGCCCATACGCCCCCTATGTTGGTGGCCTGTCAGAGTACATGCCCAAACTTGTAGAGTCACAGTCATAAAATGGTCATTTTTTTAAAGGAAATCTGTGCATTTTGTGTTATGAGGTTAATTATTATTCATTCCCTCTTTCATTTTTGTCAGTAAAATTAGGCTCTTTGGTCCCACTGTTTCTATTGTTTAAAGTTCCCTAATGATATGCCAGGGCCTGCCTTAGGAAAAAAAAAAAAGCTGCAAGTGTTTATATTCAGCATTAAGTGTTAAGTAATGGGTAGAAATGGCCCCCTCTCCTTCAGCTACTGAGGGAAAGAGAACTTTCTGCAACTTAAAATTTTCTCAGAAAATATGATTTAATAAGGTGTTATTAATAAACTGAGAACATTTATAAGAATACGAATCTTGAGGTTTTTGTACAACATGAAGAGTTGTGTAAATATTCATAACTGTTATCAATGTGCTCCGCTCTCTGTTAATACAAATAAGCCCTTGGAAATTGAATTTGAACAAGTGGATCCTGAAAATTCTGCAGAGTTTAGACATATGCACCTTGAACTAGAGAAGTCATCTTCCAAAGCACCCTATGCTTGGTATCGGTTGTGGTTTTCATGACTTGTTGCCCAGTTGATAATGTGATCTATGGCTCCGTTTTCTGACAGTACAAAAGGGGTGAAGCAGCTCTATCTTTATAACATTCCTCATCTTTCACATGCATGATGGAAAAAAAAATTGCCTATAACCTGATCCGATTTCTTATTTTAACAAAGTTATTGAGAGTCTTATCTCATTTTACTTTAGTGTCATATACATGAGAGGAACAGACTGGTCATGCATGACATCGAGCTGATGAGTGAGAAAGTTTTTTTGTTCCTGCAAATCCCAGAACCTAGCAAAGTCCCTGGTATACAAAAGGTATCCTATAAGTGGGAGGTAAATAAACATAGGTAGCAAGATAGTCTGGGCCACTAACCTGAGCTCCTCAAAATGAATACATTTATTCATTCTTCTCCATTTCTTCCTTTATTCAGACCATTGTATTGACTCATGAATTCCATGAATTCATGGATTCAAATTACTGTATTCATGCACTTCATTAATATATTCATTCCCATAATACATTAATTTCATTAATTCATTCACTCCATTCTTTCTTTCACTTTGACACTCATTGTATTCATCATTTATTCCATTTATTTATGTATTGATTTATTCCATTCACTCCTTCGCTACATTTATTCATTCATTCATGTATTTTATTTACTTAACAGGTTTTTTGTGACAGAGAGATATTTTCTTCAACAGCAAGCCATACCATTTCCTTAGATTCATCATAATTACTGTCATTCCACAGTTGCTAATTGAACATTCTGTTGAATGAATACCTCATCTAAATTAATACATAAATATTATAAGTTGTATATATGACAGAATTTGGGAAGAAAACTTGTTTTAGAACTCACCATCCAGGCCATGGACACAGACAACCAGGTGAATTCCATCTTCCAAATTTTCTTCCTCTTCCTCTGGTGGGAAATATGGTATATCAGAAGCTAGTACAGTTAAGTCACTGTACAGAAATCCTTCAATCTTCAGTTCTTTTTTAAATTTTTCTTTGGCCTGATAAAAACTGGAGAATACACTAATTAATCACAAGCCAAGCTGTGTACTTCATGTTGAACAGGAAATGAGCTGGGCTGGTATGTAGAAGGGCTGAGCACCCACAAGCAAAGTGCCTGCTGAGTGGCAAAGCTGACTTGAGCCCCCAGGGAACATGCTAGTGAGTGAAGCTTTGTTCTGAACAAGGAGGCAGGAAAGCACTCTATAAAAACCAAACACCGCATGTTCTCACTCATAGGTGGGAATTGAACAATGAGAACACTTGGACACAGGAAGGGGAACATCGCACACCGGGGACTGTTGTGGGGTGGGGGGAGGGAGGAGGGATAGCATTAGGAGATATACCTAACGTAAATGACGAGTTAATGGGTGCAGCACACCAACATGGCACATGTATACATATGTAACAAACCTGCATGTTGTGCACATGTACCCTAAAACTTAAAGTATAATAATAAAAAAATAAATAAATAAATAAATAAATAAAATTTTAAAAAGAGAAAACCAAAAACAAAAAAACCCCGAAGCTTCTATGGGTTTTGGTTCTGCAGATGCTTATGTGATTCCTGCATTGAACAGGAGACAGAGTGACAGGACATCAAAGATTCTACCCAGCTCCAAGGCCCCATGCAATCTTTAAAAAGTGAAAGCTTCTTGACTTGATTGACACCCAGGCCCTCCATGGCTTGGCCTTCCCCTGCTTCTCTAGCACCACTCCTCACCACTCCCAGCCTCCACAAATAACACATTTCTTATAATTCTCTGCATGAACTACATGACTTGGCTTTACTTCCATGCCTTGGTGCCTGAGGGCCTGTGTGCCTGAAATGCCTTTCTCACTTAGCTATGATGCTCTTTGTCTGGTTACCTGGCAAGATGATGGTTAGGGGACTGGACTCTGGAGTCAGACTGCCAAGGTCAGAATCTCAAATTTGACACTCACTATTTCTTGTTATTATCTGTTATTAGCCTCATCATCATCATCATCATCATCACCATCATTGTCTCATATTTTCTTCTCAGAGTAGATGCCATCTTCTCTAGGAAGCTTTGCCTGGCTGCTATCCCTATTCACACCCATTTCCCCAAGCCAAATTAGGTGCTTCTCCTTTTGGCTCCACCACGCGCACATGAAACATCATATTTACCCAGTCACTGCCCTCATCTACTTCTCTCATGTGTCTGTCTCTCCGTTAGACTGCAGGTACAATAAAAGCAAGGGAAACCCTGACCAGGCAGGCACTGGACAGCATCTACTATGTCTGCTGTGTACTCATGGAATTAATGACAAGTACCATATGATAGGTAGTTAACATTCTTTATAAAACAAAAATCCAATGTTTACCTGCCTGTGGCAATTTCTTTTGGAGACACCGTTAATATGTAACTCTTTAGCATTTTGCAAAAGGGTAAAGAAGATGGGATGTTTTGACAAAATGATTCTATTATATACATAATCAGATATATAGTTTATAGATGGGAGAGCAATATGAATACAAACCCAATACAAGGATGAGGAAATGAATTCTGGCATTACAAAGGTAAACTTAGAAGCCCCACAATGTTAAAGGGTGCTTGGGAGTCAAATCTGGTGAAGAATTGTATTCCCCAAAGGCTCTCAAAGAACTCCCCTTTCAAAACATGAAAAGGTAGAGGTACAATGATATTCATAAGAGAGTTATAATATTCGTAATAAAAATTGAACAAAATTGGCGGGGTACTGTGGCTCATGCCTGTAATCCCAGCACTTTGGGAGGCCCAGGCGGGTAGATCACGAGGTCAAGAGATCGAGACCATCCTAGCCAACATGGTGAAACCCCGTCTCTACTAAAAGTACAAAAATTAGCTGGGTGTGGTGGTGGGTGCCTGTAGTCCCAGCTGCTTGGGATGCTGAGGCAGGAGAATCACTTGAACCCAGCAGGCGGAGGCTGCAGTGAGCAGAGATTGCGTCACTGCACTCCAGCCTGGCGACAGAGTGAGACTCTGTCTCAATAAATAAATAAATAAATAAATAAATAAATAAATAGTTGAACAAAATTTAAAGGTTCATTTGTAAAGAATTTGGTTAATAAGTCATGGTATATTCATGCAATAGAATATTGTGTAATCATTACAATGATGATGCAAACATAGATTTATAAACATAGAAAGATATTTCTAATATATTATTAAATTAAACATTTACAATTGCCATTTGTACAGAATGGTCTAATTTTTGTATAAAAAGCATAAATCAATATAGATTCACATAGAAGAAATGCAGAAGAATATACACAGTGGTTACATTTGAAGGTAGACTTATTGACCATTTTTACTTCCTTTCAGTATTCTGCATTTTAAATTCCTATGATATGAATTAAATATATATGATATATTATCTATAATATGGTATATTACCTTATTTAAATCAGAAAATCACAGATATCTAAATTTTGAAACAGTATGCATGAAATGGAGAAATATGTGGAAAAATCTAAAAGACTGTTGTGGGAAAGGTAAGCCCGTCAGCCAGCTTACCTAAACATCCTCTCACTGACTTCCTCATCCAACGTGCTGGAATGGGTAGAAACAACTCCAAAGGATCCCAAAGGCTGATGGGTGATGGGAAACAGGGTCTGTTTGGAAGAGAATCCAGCCCTGGCAGGGGTCTCCTTGGGCACAGATGAGAAAGGGAGACAGGTGGCAGTGCAAGACACAGATAAGTTCACAACCTCCACAGCCTTCAGGCTGTCCAGAGTAAAGGTCTCTGCAGAAGTCAGATGGGACCCCATGATGGAAGTGCCTGCCTTCAGCTCTTGGTTTTTCAAAACCTGGGAATGAACGGAATGGGTCACAGTGGGGCACACAGTGCCTGCTTTATGTTTAGCCTCCGGGAAGGCATTCACTCCTCTATTAAATGCTGTGTCATCCATAATGCAAGGTGAACCGCTTTGGCTTTGCTGGCCTGTTGAGTTCCTGTTGATGGCATCAGCAGCTGACGTACAGCTCAATTCAGGCACCTGATGTTGAGAGAGACCCTCAACCTCTGAGATGCCACTGTTGGAAAGAGCTTGCTGACCCACATTCAAGTCTTTAGGCATGCCCTTTGGGGTTTCCTCAAGTGCTCTATGAAGAGATCTGGTCCTGGGGTTTTCAAGTGCTATGACGCGTGGTATTTTTAAATTAAGACCTTTGGTTTCAACACCTGGAGTGTTCTCAGTCCTGCCATCAGGAAGACAGTGTCCTTGAGCATCAAACTGCTTCCCTTTCCCTTTGGGGATGTCTATGTATCCGGGGCCCTGCTGGTTGTCAGCATCTAAAACTATCTCCACCAGGGGATGGTCTGCTCCAGCATCTGTTCCAGAGTCACCACAAAGTTGAGAGCAAGATCCTGGGGAACCTTGGCTCTTGCTGTGCATATCTGAAGGTTCAGCAAAACCTCCATCTTGCTGCTTGGTGTCCGCATCTTCAGCAGCCTCCTCTGGGCTACTGATGTGGGGAGCAGATACAGACTTGGTTAACTTAGTGAGTGCCACCTCCCGCTCATCCTCCTCAAAAGGTAAAGAGCTAATGGAGGTGAGAGAAGCCTGGATGCCGCTTGGCAAACTTGTGTTACTTTCTGTGTGTCCACCCTCTAGGGAGTTCCGGTGGAGGGCATGTCTTCGAACAAACGGGTGCAAGACTTCCCGATCACTGGGCAACTCCAGAGCCCTGCTTCGGGCCTCTGACCAGGCGACGGAGCTTGGCTCACTCTCAATGCCTGAATCAGATATGATGGATGAAGATCTCTTGATGACCCCGGATAGCACTGAGAGTTCCTCCTGCTCTTCTGTGTGAGAGTCCTTTAGGGAAGACCTAATATCTAAGGGCTCCCTCAGGGTAGAACTTAGTGGATCACAGGGCTCAGAGGGGGTGAGTTTCAAGCTTAGCAGCACCATCTTCCCCTCTTGATCTATTCCCTTTCCTAGAGTACTTAATTCATGGAGAGTTGTTTTGTCTGAAGAGATGGCATTTTGGTGGCTTCCACCTACTACCACTTTGCTTAGCCCAGTCCTGTCTAATCCATACTTATCTCTAGAGCTCCTACTCTCATGCTGAGCATTGAAGGCCACCAGGGGTTCAGCTCTGGAGGGGTTCTTATTGCTAGATTTTACGTCAATGTAGGTCAGCACTGGGGCCTGTCCATCCTCTGGACCTGGACTCCTTCTAGAAGTATCCACATCTGCCACTGGATATGTCCCAGCATCAGATGTTTGGCCAGTCCAACATTCATCTTCAGGCACACCTGCTTTGTTTTGAAATTCACCAATTGATATATACACCTGAGATTCAGAGCACATGTCCATATGATTTTGTGTGGCCACATTCTCACCTGGCTCTGGACACCTTATAACTTCTTCATCAGAATCCATTTGGGATGGTTTTATGGTAGACAAGACAAGGTCTTCCCTAAAAGATAAATTGCTATTTACCATACAGTTATCTTCCTTGTCTTTCAGATTCATTATTGTAGGACTTGTCACTGGAACATCAAAATTAGGATAAACACTCAAGTTATGCCCTACAAAAAAAAAAGAAAGAAAATTATATTATAGTGTAAGAATCTGTGTTTACAAGTTATCCAAATGTCTAACTGTATAATAAAGAATTTAGCTATGTGGACTCGGTTCGAAGATGGGAGAATAGGAAGAGCTCCAGTCTACAGCTCCCAGTGTGAGCGATGCAGAAGACGGGTGATTTCTGCATTTCCAAGTGAGGTACCGGGTCCATCTCATTGGGACTTGTTGGACAGTGAGTGCAGCCCACGGAGTGTGAGACAAAGCAGGGCGGGGCATCACCTCACCCAGGAAGTGCAAGGGGTCAGGGCATTCCCTTTCCTAGCCAAGGGAAGCCATGATAGATGGTACCTGGAAAATCAGGACACTCCCACCCTAATACTGCACTTTTCCAACTGTGTTAGCAAACGGCACACCAGGAGATTATATCCCGCACCTGGCTTGGAGGGTCCTACACCCATGAAGCCTAGCTCACTGCTAGCACAGCAGTCTGAGATCGAACTGCAAGGCAGCAGCGAGGCTGGGGGAGGGGTGTCCACCATTGCTGAGGCTTGAGTAGGTAAACAAAGTGGCCAGGAAGCTCAAACTGGGTGGAGCCCACCACAGCTAAAGGAGGCCTGCCTGCCTCTGTAGACTCCACCTCTCGGGGCAGGGCATAGCTGAACAAAAGGCAGCAGAAACTTCTGCAGACTAAAACTTCCCTGTCTGACAGCTTTGAAGAGAGTAGTGGTTCTCCCAGCACGGAGTTTGAAATCTGAGAACAGACAGACTGCCTCCTCAAGTGGGTCCCTGACCCCCGAGTAGCCTAACTAGGAGACACCTCCCAGTAGGCACTGACTGACACCTCACACAGCTGGGTGCCCCTCTGAGACGAAGCTTCCAGTGGAAGGATCAGGCAGCAACATTTGCTGTTCTGTAATATTTGCTGTTCTGCAGCCTCCACTGGTGATACCCAGGCAAACAGGATCTGGAGTGGACCTCCAGCAAACTCCAAAAGACCTGCAGCTGAGGGTCCTGACTGTTAGAAGGAAAACTAACAAACAGAAAGGACATCCACACCAAAACCCATCTGTACGTCACCATCATCAAAGACCAAAGGTAGATAAAACCACAAAGATGGGGAGAAACCAGAGCAGAAAAGCTGAAAATTCTAAAAATCAGAGTGCCTCTTCTCCTCCAAAGGAACACAGCTCTTCACCAGCAACAGAACAAAGTTGGATGGAGAATGACTTTGAGGAGTTGACGGAAGTACGCTTCAGATGATCGGTAATAACAAACTTCTCCAGGCCAAAGGAGGATGTTCAAACCCTCCATAAAGAAGGTAAAAACCTTGAAAAAAGATTAGACAAATGGCTAACTAGAATAAACAGCATAGAGAAGACCTTAAATGACCTGAAGGAGCTGAAAACCATGGCATGAGAACTACATGACACATGCACAAGCTTGAGTAGCCGATTCAATCAAGTGGAAGAAAGGGCATCAGTGATTGAAGATCAAATGAATGAAATGAAGTGAAAAGAGAAGTTTAGAGAAAAAAAGAGTAAAAAGAAATGAACAAAGCCTCCAAGAAATACGGGACTATGTGAAAAGACCAAATATACATCTAATTCGTGTACCTGAAAGTGACGAGGAGAATGGAACCAAGTTGGAAAACACTGTTCAGGATATTATTCAGGAGAACTTCCCCAACCTAACAAGGCAGGCCAACATTCAAATTCAGGAAATACAGAGAACTCCACAAAGATATTCCTTGAGAAGAGCAACTCCAAGACACATAATTATCAGATTCACCAAAGTTGAAATGAAGGAAAAAATGTTAAGGGCAGCCAGAGAGAAAGATTGGGTTACCCACAAAGGGAAGCCCATCAGACTAACAGTGGATCTCTCAGCAACAACTCTACAAGCCAGAAGAGAGTGGGGACCAATATTCAACATTCTTAAAGAAAAGAACTTTCAACCCAGAATTTCATATCCAGCCAAAGTAAGCTTCATAAGTGAAGGAGAAATAAAATCCTTTACAGACAAGCAAATGCTGAGAGATTTTGTCACCACCAGGCCTGCCTTACAAGAGCTCCTGAAGGAAGCACTAAACATGGAAAGGAACAACCAGTACCAGCCACTGCAAACACATGCCAAATTGTAAAGACCATCGATGCTGGGAAGAAGCTGCATCAACTAACGAGCAAAATAACCAGCTAACATCATAATGACAGGATCAAATTCACACATAAGAATATTAAACTTAAATGTAAATGGGCTAAATGCTCCAATTAAAAGACACAGACTGGCAAATTGGATAAAGAGTCAAGACCCATCAGTGTGCTGTATTCAGGAGACCCATCTCATGTGCAGAGACACACATAGGCTCAAAATAAAGGGATGGAGGAAGATCTACCAAGCAAATGGAAAACAAAAAAAAACAGGGGTTGCAATCCTAGTCTCTGATAAAACAGGCTTTAAACCAACAAAGACCAAAAAAGACAAAGAAAGCCATTACATAATGGTAAAGGGATCAATTCCACAAGAAGATCTAACTGTCCTAAATATATATGCACCCAATACAGGAGCACCCAGATTCATAAAGCAAGTCCTTAGAGACCTACAAAGAGACTTAGGCTCCCACACAATAATAGTGGGAGATTTTAATACCCCACTGTCAATATTAGACAGATGAACGAGACAGAAAGTTAACAAGGATATCCAGAACTTGAACTCGGCTCTGCACCAAGCAGACCTAATAGACATCTACAGAACTCTCCACCCCAAATCAACAGAATATACATTCTTCTCAGCACTACATCACACTTATTCCAAAACTGACCAAATAGATGGAAGTAAAGCACTCCTCAGCAAATGTAAAAGAACAGAAATTATAACAAACTGTCTCTCAGACCATAGTGCAATCAAATTAGAACTCAGGATTAAGAAACTCACTCAAAACCGCTCAACTACATGGAAACTGAACAACCTGCTCCTGAATGACTACTGGGTTCATAATGAAATGAAGGCAGAAATAAAGATGTTCTTTGAAACCCATGAGAACAAAGACACAACATACCAGAATCTCTGGGACACATTTAAGCAGTGTGTAGAGGGAAATTCATAGCACTAAATGCCCACAAGAGAAAGCAGGAAAGATCTAAAATAATCACCCTAACATCACACTTAAAAGAACTAGAGAAGCAAGAGCAAACACATTCAAAAGCTAGCAGAAGGCAAGAAATAAGTAAGATCAGAGCAGAACTGAAGGAGATAGAGACACAAAAAACCCTTCAAAAAAATCAACGAATCCAGGAGTTGTTTTTTTGAAAAGATCAACAAAATTGATAGACCTCTAGGAAGACTAATAAAGAAGAAAAGAGAGAAGAATCAAATAGACACAATAAAAAATGATAAAGGGGATATCACCACCAATCCCACAGAAATACAAACTACCATCAGAGAATACTAAAAACACCTCTACGCAAATAAACTAGAAAATATAGAAGAAATGGATAAATTCCTGGACACATACACCCTCCCAAGACTAAACCAGGAAGAAGCTGAATCTCTGAATAGATCAATAACAGGCTCTGAAATTGAGGCAGTGATTAATAGCCTACCAACCAAAAAAGTCCAGGACCAGACGGATTCACAGCCAAATTCCACCAGAGGTACAAGGAGGAGCTGGTACCATTCCTTCTGAAACTATTCCAATCAATAGAAAAAGAGGGAATCCTCCCTAACTCATTTTATGAGGCCAGCATCATCCTGATACCAAAGCCTGGCAGAGACACATCGAAAAAAGAGAATTTTAGACCAATATTCCTGATAAACATCAATGCAAAAATCCTCAATAAAATACTGGCAAACAGAATCCAGCAGCACATCAAAAAGCTTATCCACCACGATCAAGTTGGCTTCATCCCTGGGATGCAAGGCTGGTTCAACATATGCAAATCAATAAACGTAATTCATCATACAAACAGAACCAAGGACAAAAACCACATGATTATCTCAATAGATGCAGAAAAGGCCTTTGACAAAATTCAACAGCACTTCATGCTAAAAATTCTCAATAAACTAGGTATTGATGGGACATATCTCAAAATAATAAGAGCTATTTATGACAAACCCACAGCCACTATCATACTGAATGGGCAAAAACTGGAAGCATTCCCTTTGAAAACTGGCATAAGACAGGGATGCCTTCTCTCACCACTCCTACTCAACATGGTGTTGGAAGTTCTGGCCAAGGCAATCAGGCAGGAGAAATAAATAAAGGGTATTCAATTAGGAAAAGAGGAAGTCAAATTGTCTCTGTTTGCAGATGACATGATTGTATATTTAGAAAACCCCATTGTCTCAGCCCAAAATCTCCTGAAGCTGATAAGCACCTTCAGCAAAGTCTCAGTATACAAAATCAATGTGCAAAAATCACAAACATTCCTACACACCAATAACAGACAAACAGAGAGCCAAATCATGAGTGAACTCCCATTCACAATTGCTTCAAAGAGAATAAAATACTTAGGAATCCAACTTACAAGGGACATGTAGGATCTCTTCAAGGAGAAACTACAAACCACTGCTCAATGAAATAAAAGAGGACATAAACAAATGGAAGAACATTCCATGCTCATGGATAGGAAGAATCAATATTGTGAAAATGGCCATAATGCCCAAGGTAATTTATAGATTCAATGCCACCCTCATCAAGCTACCAATGACTTTCTTCACAGAATTGGAAAAAACTACTTTAAAGTTCATAGGGAACCAAAAAGGAGCCCGCATTGCCAAGTCAATCCTAAGACAAAAGAACAAAGCTGGAGGCATCACACTACCTGACTTCAAGCTATAGTACAAGGCTACAGTAACCAAAACAGCAAGGTACTGGTACTAAAACAGAGATATAGACCAATGGAACAGAACAGAACCCTCAGAAATAATACCACACATCTACAACCATCTGATCTTTGACAAATCTGACAAAAACAAGAAATGGGTAAAGGATTCCCTTTTTAAATAAATGGTGCTGGGAAAACTGGCTAGCCATATGTATAAAAGCTGAAAATGGATCCCTTCCTTACACCTTATACAAAAATTAATTCAAGATGGATTAAAGACTTAAATGTTAGACCTAAAACCATAAAAACCCTAGAAGAAAACCTAGGCAATACCATTCAGGACATAGACATGTGCAAGGACTTCATGACTAAAACACCAAAAGCAATGGCAACAAAAGCCAAAATTGACAAATTAAACTAAAGAGCTTCTGCACAGCAAAAGAAACTACCATCAGAGTGAACAGGCAACCTACAGAATGGGAGAAAATTTTTATAATCTACCCTTCTGACAAAGGGCTAAGATCAAGAATCTACAAAGAACTTAAACAAATTTACAAGAAAAAATCAAACAACCCCATCAAAAAGTGGGCAAAGGGTATGAACAGACACTTCTCAAAAGAAGACATTTATGCAGCCAACAGACACATGAAAAAATGTTCATCATCACTGGCCATCAGAGAAATGCAAATCAAAACCACAATGAGATACCATCTCACACCAGTTAGAATGGTGATCATTAAAACGTCAGGAAACAACAGGTGCTGGAGAGGATGTGGAGAAATAGGAACACTTTTACACTGTTGGTAGGACTGTAAACTAGCTCAACCATTGTGAAAGACAGTGTGGCGATTCCTCAAGGATCTAGAACTAGAAATACCATTTGACCCAGCCAAACCATTACTGGATATACACCCAAAGGATTATAAATCATGCTGCTATAAAGACACATGCACGGCCGGGCGTGGTGGCTCACGCCTGTAATCCCAGCACTTTGGGAGGCCGAGGCGGGTGGATCATGAGGTCAGGAGATCGAGACCATCCTGGCTAACAAGGTGAAACCCCGTCTCTACTAAAAATACAAAAAATTAGCCGGGCGCGGTGGCGGGTGCCTGTAGTCCCAGCTACTCGGGAGGCTGAGGCAGGAGAATGGCGTGAACCCGGGAAGCGGAGCTTGCAGTGAGCCGAGATTGCGCCACTGCAGTCTGCAGTCCGGCCTGGGCGACAGAGCGAGACTCCGTCTCAAAAAAAAAAAAAGACACATGCACACATATGTTTATTGCGGCACTATTCGCAATAGGAAAGACTTGGAACCAACCCAAATGTCCATCAATGATAGACTGGATGAAGAAAATGTGGCACATATACACCATGGAATACTATGCATCCATAAAAAAGGATGAATTCATGTCCTTTGTAGGGACATGGATGAAGCTGGAAACTATCATTCTGAGCAAACTATCGCAAGGACAGAAAACCAAACACCACATGTTCTCACTCATAGATAGGAATTGAACAATGAGAACACCTGGACACAGGGTGGGTAGCACCACACACCAGGGCCTGTCGTGGGGTGGGGGGAGGGGGGAGGGATAGCATTAGGCAATATATACCTAATGTAAATGATGACTTAATGGGTGCAGCACACCAACATGGCACATGTATACATATGTAACAAACCTGCACATTGTGCACTTGTACCCTAGAACTTAAAGTATAATTTTAAAAAAAAGAATTTGGCTTTTTTTCATTCCTAATTCCTAAGAGATACTCTCTGGATTCTTAGAATTTCTCAAATGATAAAGAGTGTCTTTGGTATTTATGGGGTCTTGATAATTTATGCTAACCAGGGACTCATGATGCATGCTTAAACACTATATGCTAATAAGTTAGTTCAGGATAGAGGTTGGCCATGCTGGAAAGACCAATCATGTGACTAGAGAGTTAAGACATTCAGTCAAGTAATACTAGCCTGATTTCTGGGAAAGAGTGGCCTGGAGATTGATTTTGGTTACAATTAACCCCCGATAAACACTCTGAATTCTGAGGCTTAGATGAGTGTCTCTAGTGATGACACAGACTGGTGTGCCTGGGGGGTGGTAAGTCCTGAGGGCACAGAAGGTTTATGTCTGAGACCCCTCAGACCTCATCCTATGGATCTCCTTTTTGACTGGATGTTACTTGTATAATAAAAATGCGATCAAATTTATGACGCTTTCCTGAGTTCTGGGAGTCATTCTAACAAATTATTGAACCTGAAGGCTTATGGAAACCCACAATTTATAGCCAGTTGTTCAGTATATGGGTGGCCTGGGAACCCCTGAGCTGGTGTCTGGTTTTATTTATTTATTTATTTATTTATTTTTTCTTTTGAGATGGAGTCTCGTTCTGTGGCACAGGCTGGAGTGCAGTGTCTCCATCTTGACTCACTGCAATCTCCACCTCCCAGGTTCAAGTGTTTCTCCTGTCTCAGCCTCCCAAGTAGCTGGGATTACAGGCACATGCCACCATGCCCAGCTCATTTTTTTTTTTTTTTGTATTTTAGTGGAGATGGGGTTTCACCATGTTGCCCAGGCTGGTCTCGAACTCCTGAGCTCAGGCAATCCACCCGCCTCGGCCTCCCAAAGTGCTAGGATTACAGGCGTGAGCCACCACACCCAGCCTGGTGTCTGATATTTAAAGGTCAAGTTCATCAAGGATTGTGCCCTTAGATGGTGAAGTTTGATCTCTGGGTAGTTAGCGTCAGAACTGCACTGCACAAACAAAAAGCTGTCAAAACCTGTCATCCATTAAGTTTTAACTTATCAAAGTATGTGTAATAATCCCCATTTGTAAATATCAAAGCATTTCTCCATCTTATGCACAATACTTACAGAGTAAAAGACAGCTTTAGAGCCAGAAAAGCCTGATTTTCAATTCTGACATTGCCATTTACCAGCGATGAGACCTTGGACAACTATGGAACTTAGATAAGCTATTATCCTATTAGAGGTCACTTTGCTCAACTCTACAATGGGAAGATTCAAAATAAACTTCATGCTCTACAGTCATAAATCAAAGTAGAGTTATGATACAAGATGATGTTACACCTGGGGAAGACAGATTTCTACTTTCTCAGAAAAATACTGCCAAGCTTGAATTCTATTCAGAGAAACTCTCCTTTGTGGCACTCAGACCACAGGAAAGCTCCCAGAACCATTGTGATCTTCATAATCAGATGGTGGGGAGCCAAAGATGATCTTTTCCTATTTTTATTTAGGTAAGCCATTATCTCTCTCAATCTCTTCTCAATCTCTTATCTCTTCTTCCCTTTCTTCTCTCTCCCTCTTTCTCTTTCTCTCTGCCTCCCTCCTTTCTAAGAATTCGTAACTGGACAAAAACAATAACCTCTCATGTCTGTCTGTATCATGGCTGTCATGAAATAGTCGTGTGACATATTATTCAATTTACATATACACCAAACAAAAAAAAGGACTGGATTTTTATTTTCTTTAAAAAGTTTAAATCCTCCACATGGTCTTAGCAGAAGTTAAATCAATGCAATCACTATTGAATGTGACCATGAAGTAAACCACTGAGACACTACATAGCTAACTGCAGGAAGCATTAAGACATGATGCCTTTGAATGAAGTTTATGATTGCAGCAAGGAAATAACGGATCTCTTCCTTACCAGGGCGCATTCTTTGCACCTTAAGAAACTGTGAACAAACTTGCCTCTCTCTACAATACCCTTCCCACGACCTACCGCAAGTTAGACCTTCTCTAAGAAATTCCGAGCCTCCCTTCTACTTACATGCAGTGTGATATATCCTATTGCCATACTATGATCTGTTTGTGCATCTGTTGTCAAGTCTAGAGAGAAGAGTTGGTGTTTTGTGAATTTCTATAGCCCCAAGGCTAGCATCATGGCTAGTACATAGGTGATGAATTGAGAATAGAACAGAATTCCAACAAAACAAATAATAATAAGCTCATTATTGTTTGCATTGGTTTGAAAAAATTTGCTTCAATATCATTTAGTCCCACACACAGTACTTTGACATATTCTATGTGAAAAATCCCTATCCTAGGCAGTGGCTTAGGAGGAGGGAAAGTGAGTACTAGTTATAACAGTGAACCAGGCTCTGCCTTTAAGGGATTTGCAAAATATTGGGAAACATATACAGATACAGCTATCTCTTCTGCCAAAATAATGTGGACTATGGCAAACCTATGAAGATAGTAAAAACACCAGTGGTTGCCAGGCACGGGGGAGAAGGCAGGATAAATAGGCTAAGCACAGAGGATTTTTCGAGCAATGGAACTACTGTGTATGATACTATAAGAGTGGATGCACGTCACTCATTATACGTCTGTCCAAACCCATATAGAATGTGCAACATAAAGAAGGAACCCTCGTGCAAACTAGGAACTTTGGGTGATAATGACACGTCAGTAGAGGTTCATCTGCTGTAACAAAGGCACCACTCAGGTAGGAGATGTTGATAATGAAGAAGGCTATGCATGTGAGGGCACAGGAGGTATGTAGGAAATCTCTGCACCTTCCTCTTTATTTTCCTTTACTGGGAACCTGAAATCTCTTTTAAAAAGTCTTTAAAAAATGAAAAAAGAATGGGACTGCTGGGGAATATGAAATGAGCTTCTTCAGAAAAGGTGGGAATGAGCCACACTAAGCACAGGGAGCAGCATGGGCAAAGGCCCAGAAGGCTGGGCACACTCTGCTCCAGCTTTGGTTCATTCCCACGTGGATGGAACAAGAGTGAGGTATGGGGTGTATGACGTCAGACAGAGAGAGAGAACCCACGCCATAGAAAAACTTGAATGCCTTGTATAAATGAGTCATCTGGTCTTTATACCACAGGTCATAGATTCTTGGAATTAAAAAAAAATTTTATCAGATTCATCACAGACAGTTAAGACAGGAAACAGAAAGTGCAGAAAGTAAGTCAGTTGCCAAAATAGCAAATAATTAGTTTCACTATTGCAACTATAGAAAAATGAAAGTAGCAGAAGATCTAATTGAAAGAGAATGGATTTAGAGTCAAATACTAATGAATAGTGTTAGTTAACGTGCATTCAGAATGCCTTTATGCCAGTTGCTCTTTTAAGTGTTTTATGGACTGATCAATCCACTAGTCACAGCAATCCCCTGGAGGAGAAATTACAACCCCTTTTGCCCAATTTCACACGGTTAATAATTGTTAGGGGGAAAGACTCAAAACCAGACAATCTGACAATCTGGCTAACTCTTCAGGCTTTAGGCGAACCTCCCAATTGTCTTGGGATAGAGAGGCATGGTGTGGGTGTTGGGGGAGCAGAGACAAAGACAGATATTGCAGCGTGCCTGGCACATGGCACATGTTTAGGCCATGTGATATGGTTTGGCTGTGTCCCCACCCAAACCTTATCTTGAATTGCAGCTCCCTTAATTCCCATATGTTGTGGGAGGGACCTGGTGGGACTTAATTGAATCATGGGGGCAGTTTCCCCCATCTGTTCTCGTGCTCGTGAATACACCTCACAAGATCTGATGGTTTTATAAAGGGAAAACCCTTTCACTTGGCTCTCATTCTCTCTTTGCCTGCTGCCATGTAAGACGTGCGTTTCACCTTCCACCGTGTGATGCCTCCCTAGCCACGTGGAACTGTGAGTCCATTAAACCTCTTTTTCTTTATAAGTTACCCAGTCTTGGGTATGTCTTTATCAACAGCATGAGAACATACTAATACACCATGAACAAATGCTATTGTCACAGACCATGAACAAATGCTATTATGGCTTTTGTTAGTTGTTTTTTCCTTTTAGAGACAGGGTCTCACCTGTCACCCAGGCTGGAGTTCAGTGACAGGAGGCACGGTCACAGCTCACTGTAGCCTCAAACTCCTGGGCTCAAGCAAACCTCCCACCTCAGCCTCTCGAGAAGCTTGGACTACAGGTGTGAGCCACCATGCCCAGCAAATGCTATTATTTTAACATAGAAATGGAAATCTTTTATTTCCCTTTTTTCCTTACACTAGAAGAATGGAATATAATTGTATCTGATAACGTCATGGCAAGGCGTAAGTATTAAGGTCACTGGGTTCTTGAGGGAAGAGAAAATAGTTCTTTATCACTCATGCTTTTGATCTGGGGTTAAAGAATCATCAAAATGCTTTGTGAGAGATCAAGGAGTTCAAGAAAAGCTTCCAGTATGGAGAAGGGGTACAGATATTTCTGTAAAAGTAGTCTGAGGGATAGAGAAGGCTCAGGTCAGAGGTCCATGGAGAGAAGCCTGGAGAAGAGAGACCCGCCTCTGAGAGTGACTGCCTTTGTTCTTCCAGGAAGATGAGTGCACCTGCACTGTGCCGGAGTCCCAGCCTCAAGCTCAACACAGAAGCTGCAAAGAGAGGCTGGTCCTAAAATATGACATTGTGAAAGGAAAATATCTTGAGGCCCCCAAAATCACTAAGCTAAAGGGAAAAGCCAAGCTGGGAACTGCTTAAGGCAAACCTGCCTCCCATTCTATTCAAAGCTACCCCTCTGCTCACTGAGATAAATGCATATCTGATTACCTCCTTTGGAGAGGCTCATCAGAAACTCAAAAGAATACAACCATCTGTCTCTTATCTATCCATTACCTGAAAGCCCCCTCCCCGCTTAGAATTGTCCCGTCTTTCCACACTGAACCAGAGTTCATCTTATGTATCTTGATTGATGTCTCATGTCTCCCTAAAATGCATAAAACCAAGCTGTGCTCTGACCACCTTGGGTACATGTCGTCAGGACCTCCTGAGGCTGTGTCACGGGTGCATGTCCTCAACCTCAGCAAAATAAACTTTCTAAATTAACTAAGACCTATCTCAGGTTTTTGGGATTCACAACATAAATATGGATAACCAATGGATTAGAGGAACCACACGTTCGGACAATCTTAGAAAGATCTTCTGCAACCATGTCTTGTTGCTGTTTGACTCCAGGGCACTGACGTGAGAGGTGGTGAGAAAGGAGTGAGCAGAGAAGCCCCAGAAAGACTGAGGTTGATTTTCCAGCTGATATTGCAGGATGGAGGCGCAGAGAGGGAATGAATTTATTTATTTATTTAATTGATTTTTTTTTTTTTTTGAGACGGAGTTTCACTCTTGTTGGCCAGGCTGGAGTGCAATGGCGGGATCTAGGCTCATCACAACCTCTGCCTCCCAGGTTCAAGCGATTCTCCTGCCTCAGCCTCCCGAGTAGCTGGGATTACAGGCATGTGCCACCACACACGGCTAATTTTGTATTTTTAGAAGAGATGGGGTGTCTTCATGTTAGTCAGGCTGGTCTCGAACTCCCGACCTCAGGTGATCCACCCGCCTCAGCCTCCCAAAGTGCAGAGATTACAGGTGTGAGCCACTGTGACTGGCCAAGGGAACTAATTTATTAAAAAAATAGAGATATGTGTTATAACTTCACCTGTGAGTTGAGGGACTGAGATTCATATTCACAAGAATGTATGTTAATATGTGCAGAAAAAAAGACTGGAAGACAATCTGCAACAAAACCTAATAATGATAATACTAGAGGATCTGCTAGTGGGCGATTAATTTAAATTTCTTCTCCAACAGTTCAGATTCTCTGTAGTTAAATCATGTAACTCTAATGAAGATGCACTTACATATTAATATACATGCATACCTATGTATGCATACATACACATACATATATATGCAAACACACATACATACATGCACACACACACCTCACAGAAGAAAACGTCTCAGTGTCATGTTTTAAACTTGTTTTGACCAGTTGGTTTGGAGGCTCTCTGGCCTGTACACTTTATAACTGCCATACACTATACTGACACTAGATGTCAGGGTATAACTGAGAACCAAATAACCGTATATTTGCAAGGTTGCACTGCCCTTGGAAGTCACTTGGATTTTTAAAATATCCTACAAGTCTCAGGTAGCAGAATCTTTGAAATTTAGCCATTTTAAAGCATCATTTAAATGATGGGCACCTAAACATGATGATTTAAAACTTGCACAGACAGCGAGGCAGAGCACAGACTTTGGAATCAGAGTTGGCGTTGAACGTCGGCTTTAATAAGCCTTGTGATCTTTAATACATGCTTATACTTAGTGCCTCAGATTCTCTCTGTGGCATTGAGTTTGTGAGGTTGTTTATAGGATTAAAGAGATAAAACACCCAAAACCTCCAGCACAGAGCCTGATGTTTTTCTGATCCTCGAAGGGACACAGGACAATTTAGCTTGTTGGGTTTCCAGGAGCAGGGCCGTGGGGCAGGACAAGAAACGAGCCTTGACCTCTTGCCCACTCCCCACTTGACCTCTCAGTCCATTAACAAACTCTGTGTGAAAGCATGTGTGAAAGCAGCAAAACAGGTTGCACTCTGGATACATATACACAAACAATACACACAAACATGTGATCTTTTCCTCCTGAAATGAATCATTCATCTATTAATCCATATACGGTAAGTCCTCATTTAACATCATCAGTAGGTTGCTGGAAACACTGACCTATAACACAATTAAAAGGATGTATAACAGAACCAGTTTTACCATAGGCTAATTGATATAAACAAGAGCTAAGTTCCTATGGCATATTTCTGATCCCCAAAACATCATTAAACTTACAGACTTAAAACACTTCTAATATTAAACCCTGAAGTAAATCTGAGATATACATACATTTAAGAACAATTAATAAAAACAAATAATGATTTTCCCAGTATTTGGTGACTCGATGAGTGACGGCAGTTGTAGTGGTGGTGGGTTAGATCAAAGAATAAATGTCTGCAAAGTGAAATTGTAAGGAGCACATCCTACCAACCTGTAGTTCACAATCAATCAGGAATATGGTAGCTCGCTGAGTGCTTCCATACTTTACCCTTTCCTGTTGGTTCAGGAAAACAAATCAGCCTGGAGAAGATACCATCCCATTGTAGGACTCAGCCCTGGACAAGACACCATCCCATCTCAGGGCGCACTCACACATACCCACACTCACTCTGACCAGGATGATGTATACACACCAATTCACCTAATGTGCACAGCTGTAGACCATGGGGGGAAATCAAAATACCTGGAGAAAAAACACCCAAGCAGACAGGGGGATAATGTGCTAACTCCATACAGACAGTTGCCCAAATGGCCAATGCCTTTATTTGTTATTATTATTTTTTTATTTTGAGGGGATGGAGTCTTGCTTTGTTGCCCAGGCTGGAATGCGATGGCGAGATCTCGGTTCACTGCAACCTCTGCCTCTTGGGATCAAGCGATCCTCCTGCCTCAGCCTCCCAAGTAGCTGGGATTACAGGTGTCCGCCACCACGCCCAGCTCATTTTTGTATTTTTAGTAGAGATGGGGTTTCTCCATTTTGGCCAGGCTGGTCTTGAACTCCTGACCTCAGTTGATCTGCCCACCTCGGCCTCCCAAAGTGCTGGGATTACAGGCGCGAGCCACGGCGTCCAGCCTTTGGCCCAATGCCTTTAAAGTTCACCTGGAAATCATATTTATTTGAATGGCACATTTGAGATAAGAAAGAATCTTCATCTGACTTTCATGTCACTCTGGTGTGGGGGTGGGCAGGCTGTGGTGCCCATTTTGCAGGTGAAAACGCTGAAGCACTACGTATAATTCCACTCCAGAAGGAGTCAGGGAGGAAGTCTTTCATGGTTATTTTGTTAGATCGTTTTGTCTATTTCATGGAAACAAAGTCATTTCAAACCATTACTTTGTTTCCTCTCTATGAACTGACATAATCCTTCATTAATTTGGTCTCACTTTTGCTGGAATATAAACAAACTGTGCCATTGTCAGAATCCCACTGGAAAGCCTTATTCCTGAGTCTTTCCAAAACAAAACAGACAAACCTGTCGCAGGGCAGTCCACGTATCTGTCCTCAAAGATCACCGGCAGGGTGTTCCAATCGCCGTCGATGTCCAGGCACTCTGCAGGCAGCGGGGGCATGCTAGTGAGGTACTCCGAGTTCCGGATATCCAGGGACAGCTGGCTGTGCGTCTGTATCCTGGGGAGCACATGGCAGGGTGAGCGTCCAGGGAAGAGTCAGAGGTTTCCAAACCGTTGCCCCCTCTTCCTAATCCCGGGAAAATACTCGGTTCTCAGCTGACTCTGGCAATTGTCTGCCCATCATCCTTTTCTTCCACCCACCTACTTAGCCCCCAGAGCCATAGTCTGCTTTGTTTTGGAACTGGCTGAGGTGCTGAAGTTAGAGGACATGGATTGTAGGATTAGCAGAAACTTGACAAGAGTATTTATCATCGACCATTTTAGTGGAATATAATAAATACCACATTAGTGGAAAGCAAGCTGAGTTTTTAAATGACTAGAAATTTAGAAATTTTAAATTAGCATTTTGAAAAAAATGTAAATGTATGTATCTTTTACTCTTTTCTTACTTCTTAGACCACTTAGGATCTGGTCATATTTTGGCATATTTGAATTAAAACCTATCTAAAATACCTTTTCTATTGATTATTACATGGATAGTGGCATCCTGGATGAAGGTATAAATTTCCCTAGATCAAGGGCCATATTTTTTGGTTTCCCCTGTAAGATGAAGAAAAAATGTCCCATATTCTTTCTTTATGACATATATATCCTTCCATCAACAGGAATTCAATTCCAGAGTTTGGAATAATCACCATTCCTAATTCGAAGGCTGGGGTGGTAGAAAGTGTGTATTCCCTTCTCATCAAGTTTCTACAGTAGGGGAAGAGTTTATTTTACTCTATAAAGGAAAAAGCATGAACATTTCATCATTTTTTTCCATGCCAACTCAATCACTCTTCCCTCAAGGGAAGAAGGAGCCTTACGGAGTCTATGAGTTTTGGGAAGACTTGAGCTTGCAGAGCTAGATTATGTGTGTCTGTCCATCACTCTTGTTGGAGCAGCTCGGCCTCTGGAAGCCCCCCTTCTCCAGTCTTGTAGACCAGCTGCCTGTAGAAGAGCTTTGTAGCTGTGAAACTCTGCACAGACTCAAAGCAAATTCTCAAACTCAGCATTCTCAGTAACAGATGCAATGAAGATAAATGTATGGAAATATATAATATTTATGTATGTATATTTCATATAATATACATAGTGAATTTACATATTAACTATGATTTCATATACATATCTATTTAATATACATATTAAATATGTATATTTTGTTTCCTTCTCATTTTTCAATTGGATCTTAACCCACCACAAGGGAAGGGTTATTTTCTCTTCATCAAAGCCCTGAAGGCTGCTACAACTTCATAACTCTGAATTCTCGGAATATTTAACTCTTTAAATGTTCTTCTCTGAATATTTAACTCTTTAAATGTTCTTCTCTGAATATTTAACTCTTTAAATGTTCTTCTCTGAATATTTAACTCTTTAAATGTTCTCTGAATATTTAACTCTTTAAATGTTCTCTGAATATTTAACTCTTTAAATGTTCTTCTCGGATTATTTAACTCTTTAAATGTTCTTCTCGGAATATTTAACTCTTTAAATATTCTTCTCAGCATATTTAACTCTTTAAATATTCTTCTCAGCATATTTAACTCTTTAAATATTCTCATCTGAGTGTTTAAATGGAGTTTTATTGCACTCAATTCTGTACCTTTTGCCACCTTCTGAATCTGGAACTTCTGGACCAGTTTTGGTTTTATTAGAAAATATGCTGAGCACCTGTGAACTTAGGCTGGTGTGCACAGGCTGGGAAGTACACCTAGAGGATTGCAGCTTGATTTTAGGTCGAACAAGCCAACATTCATGAAAAAAACAAGCGATTAAGCAATATAGCAGGACAGGTGTGGGAGAGTCTGGTCTAAGTTATGTTATGCAGGCTGTGATCTAGGGAAATGCAGCTTCTTGAGCACAGGGCTTTCGTGAATGTGACCAAGTACCTAAAGCAATGCCTAGCAAGTGTTGAAAAACTGACTGAAAATGCTAAAGGGTACATAGGAATCAGCGCCTATCTCTGATTGCAGGAAACTGAGGAGTCTGGCTCTAGGCCAAAATCCTGTGCATGACTTCTCAGACCCAACCATAGGCAACTGCAAGGTTTTGCTAGGCAGGCCTCATGGGAGAAGCTTCCCTGCCATCCTTAAATTTGATGCACAGCCAGTGCAGTGTGGCTGTCTGGAGGAAGTTGCAGGATAGTTGTGTCATGCAAGTTGTAACTAAGACACTGTTACTATCTTTTTTTTTTTTTTTTTTTTTTGAGACAGAGTTTCGCTCTTGTTGCCCAGGCTGGAGTGCAATGGCACAATCTCGGCTCACCGCAACCTCCACCTCCTGGGTTCATGCGATTTTCCTGCCTCAGGCTCCCAAGTAGCTGGGATTACAGGCAGGTGCCATCACACCTGGCTAATTTTGTATTTTTAGTAGGGACAGGGTTTTTCCGTGTTGGTCAGGCTGGTCTTGAACTCCCGACCTCAGGTGATCTGCCCACCTAGGCCTCCCAAACTACTGGGATTACAGGCGTGAGCCACCGCGCCCGGCCCACTATCTTTATTTGAAGATTAAATGTGGTTTAAGAAATGCGAATGGGTGCCAAGTTGACAAGGGGTGGATTTGTGATGGTTGATTTTGGATGTCACCATGATTGGATTATGTGATTCCCTATATAGCTGGTAAAGCACTATACATTCTTAAACACTGCATGGATTATTCTCAATTCTTCTGCTGAAAGGGAAATGTAGGTGGTTTAGTGTGGATTAGAATGACTGGGCTGCCTCAGGGGTGTCTGTGAGGGTGTCTCTGGAGGAGACTGGCATGCAAATTGTGGGATTGAGTGGGGAAGATCTACCCTTAATGTGGGTGGCACCATCCAATTAGTTGGGTCCCGGATGAAATGAAAAGCAGAGGAAAGGCACATTCATCTCTCACTCTCTCTTGGGTCTGGAATGCTCTTCCCCTGCCCTTAGATGTCAGAACTCCAGGTTCTCCAGCTCTTGGACTCTGGGACTCTCAACAACACCCTCTGCACTCCATGCGCTCCCAGGCCTTTGGCCACCATCAGCTTCCTTGGTTCTGAGGAATTCCAACCTGGCCTGAGCCACGCTGCCAGCTCCCTTGGTCCTCCAGCTTGCAGAAGGCCCATCATGGGACTTCTTGGTCTCCACAATAAACTGAGCCAATTGTCCTAATATATTTCTTCTCATCTCTCTCTCTCCATGTATATCCTATGGGTTCTGTCTCTCTGGAGAACGCTGACAAAAACAGATCCTGGTAACAAAAATTACCAGGTGCTAATTGACTGAAGCAAGTCGGGGAGAAGTGTTCCAGGCAGGGATGCTCTCCCCTCCATGGCAAAGATCACAGTTAGGAAACACCACAATCCACCCCACTCAGCTCAACCAAAGGCAGTTGTGATGTCCACTTACCCTGCTCTGTGTTTTTACAATGCCTATCACCTTCCATCATGCTGCATAACTGATTGATTCATAATGCTTATTGTTTAGCACCTGTCTTCCAACACATGCTGTTTTGTTCAATGATGCATATCCCAAGTGCCTTAGACAATGCCTCCCATACAGTGAACAGTATTTGACTAAAACATACTTGTTAAATCAATAAAATTAATCAACATGGCATATGCAGGGAACTAGGGAGCTCTGCAAGAGTGGTTCAGACGGCTGAGGCTGCAGCAGGAAGGTCCCGAGCACTTTTTGAGTCTGGACTCTATGTGGGCAATGAGGAAGCAGTGAAGACCAATAGGCCAAGAAGGGCCACAGCCTCATCTGTGTTTTAGAATGATCAGTCTGACCAGGCAGGGAGTCCGTGAGATAGTGGGTTTCTTTACATGTGTGGTGTATGCAGGCATGTGGTTACGGGTGTGGCATGTGTGCATGTATGTTTTCCTGAGTGTATGCAAGTGCACATGTGTTTACATGGACATATCTGTGTTTATACAGGTGGAGGTGTGCATGTGTGTGCATACGAGTGTAGCTGGGTGCATGCATGGTGCATATATGGGAATGTTATTGCTGCATGCACAAGTGCATGTTTACGTGTATGTGTTTTCTGGTGTTCTGTGGAGAATAAAGAGGGATAGGCTGAGAAAGGTCAATTTAAAGGCAACAATATTTGAACAATATTTAAAGGGAAAAACAACTTTCTCTCTGAATTAAGCAAACTGCAGGGAGAATGTGGAGTTGGAGTTGGAGTTGAGTTTATTATTAGCACAACTGGGAGTGAATCTTGATTTCTGACTCTCCAAGGCTCTGAATGACTCCCACCCCTGCCATCCCTGTAACTCCTCCACCTTCCTCTTCACACACTGCCCTCCAGCCCCACTGACGTTCTCCTAGATCTTTGGTGCAGCATTCAGGCTGTGTCTGGCCTCAGGGCCTTTGCCCTGGCTGTTACCTCCACCTGTAATGCACTGTCCTCCTGGGCTGCTTCCCACCCTCAGACCTCAGTGAGTATAAATGTCACCTTCTCTGAACTGTTCTCCTTTAACACCCTACTTTAGAGAGCCACTGGTCCTACTTGGTCAAATCAGGAACTTTCTATTACCCGGTTCTTTAGCCCCATCTTTAATTTTCTTGCTTATCTGCAAATTTATTTATTGTCTTCTCCGTCCAGTGAGGGCAGAGACCTTGTCTACCTTGTTAGCTTTTTAATTCATTGTATAGAAAGTCCCCAGATCAGTTCCTGGATATAATGGATGACGAATAATTATGCAGAGGGAGGGAGGAAGGGAAGGAGAAAGGGAGCTGAGTAAATAAATACATTAGCAACTAAGGGTAGCATTAAGTAAATAAGAAATCCTCATTCCTTATCATCAAGAGGATCCCAACAGGAATCTGAACTCTGCCTTTGCCTTTTCAAACTGTCACCTCCCATTCCCCTCCCTGCCCACTCCTCCCCTACCTCACCCATGGCAGAAGCCACACAAGTGGGGAGAGACAAGCCTGGAATGCAGCCTGCATAGGTCGGCCTTGCACACCTGTGTCTGAGCGTGCATGGCCCCTGTTCAGCACATGGTCACCTCCTCATCTTTCTAAATGACACTCTAGGGGAGCGGGCTTTGCTTGGAAACCAGTTGTTTGCACAGTAGGCAGAGACACTCCCATTCTGAGCATTCAGGCAGAATCCCTGGATTTTATTTGGGGTATTCTGTGCGGCACATAGGGAAAGAGTCTCCTGAAACATACAGGACCTGGTTCATCTCCTTTTTGTTTCAACGTCAGGTTTACCTGAGTCCGGGCTTATGCTGTCGGACTGTAACCCTGACTCCAGGAATACAGAGCGAAAGCATAAGAACACTTCTGTTTTAGAGGTTCAAAAATCTGCATTTCACTTTATTTCTTATCATGTGTTCTTTAAGATGATGGCTCAACAGTGCACAGAGAAGCCAAAGCAAGGAGGTTATGAGTGTGGCCTCTGGGCTCCAACAGATCCATGCTTGTGTCGCTTGCTGGCTGTGTGGTCTAAGATAAGTTACTTAACCTCTCTGAGCCCAGGTTTCCCTAGTTTCTTCTTCTTTAAAGTGGGGAGAATAATAGTACCTACCTCATAGAGTTCATGTGAACATTAAACGAGCCAAAGCATGTAACGCACTCAGTTTCTGATCAGAGTAGTTTCAATAGACTAAGCACCATGAATAAATGCCTATTTATTGGCACCAGGTAAAATGCCTATTGTGGTCAACCCTACGGACATAGCATGTCTTAGAATGAATTCCTTTTGAAAAGTTAAAACTTACAATTAACACAGGAAATGCAAAAGTCAGAGTGATATCTCATTACTATTGTTATGAAAATGAATACATCGGTGTAGACCTTCTTTTCCATCACCACTTCCACATTCATTCCTCAGCAAACTTTCACCCAATACCTCTTTGCTGTGTGAAAAGCACTAGCTAGACATTGGTAAAACAGAGAAGAGGAACAATAAAACACACCCTTGCTACTGGTCAATTCTAGATTATTTGTTAACACTTTTTAAAAATTGTGACCCGTGGCGAAAGATGGTCTTCATTTCCATGGCAACCCAGTGCAATCACATACTCCCAGAAACACACACACTGAAGCAAAAGTTTCAGCAGACAGTCCTTCCTCATACCATCTATTCTGCCTTGCCCTGTCCTTTCCTACTCCCTCCTATCCTATCCTATTTCATTTAAGAAGCACTGTTCCAAATACACTAGGTTGATTTCACTGTCCACTAAACGATTGTGACCCATTGTTTGAGAAACACAATTTAATCTGAGCTCGAACAAGATGGGTCTTGACAGCTGAGTTTCACCTGTGCCGTCACCTACATTGCCTCATGTCCATCCTGATTTGGGAGTGCGCTGCTGCCTTATGTAAGCCGCATGACCTCCCCGGGGTGACTACCTTTCTCCAGCTCTGACCTCCAGGTGTGCAGAACCACGTTAACGCACAGGTGCCAGCCCTGCATAGCCCCTCTTCACTATCTCACAGTAAGCCTCACTTCTCTTCACAGCACTTTGTACCTTTTCTCTAGCAATCTTCTCAGTCTGAAATGAAATTCTCCCTCTGTTTTACAGCTCTTCTTATTCTTGATGACCTGGCAAAAAGTTTACTTTCTCCTGAGTAGTATCTCGCTTATCTTAGTCTATGATTTATGTTTTTTGTTAATGTCTACTATTTACTGAATGCTTACAACATTCTCTAATCTCTAAAGTCACTCAGAGGATAAACATTACAATCTCCTAGGGATCTGGAGAGCTCCGTCTCCCATCTGATTCAGATCTCCACTCAACCATCACCTTCTCCAGCAGACCTTCTGTGACAATTCATGAACTAGGACTCTCTGTTCCTCTCACAGCGATGCATGTTTCCCCATAGCACTCCTTACCACTTAGCATATCATATCTATGTACTTGTAGGCCTTCCATCACCAAAATATAAGCTTAATGAGATAGTGGATTTGTCTGTTTTATTCACTGTTGAATATCCAGCACTCAACATAGTGAAGACCTAACTAACACAGTCAACACTAAATACATTAGTTATTGAATGAAGGACTCTTCCCTTTACACCTAAAAAAATTAGATATAAGAAGTTCAGTAACTAGTTTGATGTCACAAGCATTACAAGTTACAGAATTAAGATTTCAAATCGTGTATATAAGATTTGAAATGCCAAGGCCCATAGTCATTTGCTGGTAAAAGAAAAACAAAAGCATTAACCATAATTACCACAGTACACAATCCAAAGTCTTTTCCTGGCTGACAAGGCCCCACATGGACTGGTCCCTACTGCCCTCTGGCCCTCCCTCCCTCCCCTCTCCTACTTTCTCATTCTATTCTAGCTACACTTGCCTTCTTGCTGATCTTTAAACACATTGTGTTTCCATATCAGAATCTTTATGACAACTATTCTGTCTACCTAAACAATATTCTTGTATGTCATGGCATGGCTTGCTGTAACCCCAGACACTGTTCAAATGTCACATCTTCAAAAAGACTTTTTCTTATCGCTTTGGCTAAAACAGACTTTCTCTTCTACTCAGTGTTGCCTTGGAGCCCATTCACGCTGGTTTGCAAGAGCTAACTGTGCACATCTCTTCCCAATTCCATATTCAGTGATAGCACAGTGGTAGCTTGAAACTGGCCATTGTGAAAACATTTGCACAGAAGAAATCAGCAGACACTACGAAAGGCAGTTTGTCCTTTGTCTGTTTTTCCTCTTCTGAAAGCTGGTGGCTAAACATTTATGAGATTACTACCCCATTTCTCTTCATTTTCTATGTTCTTATCTTGCTTTTTTCTTCCACTTGTCAAAACTTGAAATTATATAATTTATGTCTTGCCTGTTTCCTCACTAGGATGAGTGACCCATGTATACAGCACCTTTACTATATTATTGCTGTATTTCCACTCCTATGTGGACAATACACATTCGCTTACTTCATCAGTCACCTTCTAACACTTTCTGAGCAGAGTCTGTGGCTAGCTCCGTGTGTTCCATGTGCATGGACATGCCCATTATGTCCTCACAATTGCTGTCTTACCCACTGTGTGGATAAGGAAGCTGAGACTGGATGGGGGTGAGAAAAAAACAAGAAGGACAGAAACATAACTCTCTCAAGGACCAACTGCTAATAAATGCAGGAACAGGGTCTTGAACCCATGTAATCTGAGTGCTGGGTCATCTGTGGTTTGTACAGGGGGTCAGTGTTGCAAAGCTCTTCCAGGAGAGCAGTTGTCTTTGAGTCTGTCTCCTCTGTGTGTGCTCACACTGCTTGAGAATGCAACCATGGCTCCACAATCGAAGGTTTACCTATTGTTGCAGTAACTCTGGAAAGAAGATTTCCTGCAGGGATCTTGATATGCAATATTTTTCTCAGTGACCCTCACGGTTATGTTTGTATTTGTCAGATTAGCTCTTCTCTGTTTTTAATTCTAGAAAATATATTCTCCCAGCTCTAGCTGGCCACTGGGATAAAAGAATTAATGAGTGAGTGAATGACCGTAGAAATTCCTAGACTTGTCATTTCAACACGCAGCTGTGCTTTCCTTGGTGCCACCCCCTTACTTGCAGAATCCATGAGACAAGCCGTGAATGTCATTGTACTTTCCAAACAGAATGAATTGTGGGGAGAAAACAGGATTCTAATGAGAAAGGTGAAAAAGTCTCCACGTCCATCTTGAGTGATGGATGGGTCTCATGTGTTTCTCCTTCTATTTTTGCTATGGCATCTCAAGCATCTTTCCATCCACATTTAATGTTTGAGGTGAACGTATCATTTGGAAGCAAAAAGAAACCCTTGGACTGTGGACCAGAGGACAAAACATATTGGAAGATTCTCTACTCCCACTCACCTGGGAATCTATGAGACAGTGACCTCATCCTCCCTCAACCCTCTCACTGCCTTGAGTACCTTTCAATTTTTTTTCTGGAAGAAGGCAAACTTAGCAATTCATCAGCCCTCCTAATTACGTAGTTCAGACTTAATTCTTATGCTGAATGCATTTCATAGCTACCACAGAGTCTAAGGCAAATTCTGTGTTTTTTCTGACATAGTTTGAGGCCACACCACCTGCTTCTAATTCATTTCGCAGAGGACTCAGCACAGATGTCTTCAGGGACCTAGGGTGCCTTGATTCTGTCTACAAAACCATGATACTCAATGAAAGAAAATTTTGGCTGGTGACCTTCTCTGCCACCTGCCAGCTCCCCACTCTGCAATCTGTCTGACTCTTTTGCCTGCAGAGGAAATGCAGACAGAAAGTGCAGAGGTGGGCAGACTTCTCTCCTTCACTTCCAGTGAGAAAGTGAAGAGTAACTTTGAACAGCATGTCTTGGGTGGCTGCTTTTAGGGATGAAGTGGGCATGCAATGGATACTTACAGATTCTCCTGAAATGTCAGGACTGCAAGTTTTTGGTGCTCCATGTAAAAGAAGGCCTCAGAAAACCTTCGGACCTGCAGAATAAAACAATGTAAACAGTTCAATTCTTTAGGTAGGTATTACCTGCACTTTCTTTTTTTTTAATTGAGGCTCAAAAAGATGAATGATATTTCCTAATAGGAAGAGAGCCAGGCCCCTGACCTGAAGGTTCTGAATCAACAGTCTTCACATTCCTCCAAACTGATCTCTCTCCTTCAGAGCTCTTAGCCCACACTTGGTTTATGAACACACGTGAATGCAGTCTATGAATCTGTTCTTGCATTGCTTTTGCTATTGTGTTTAACTTGAGGTCTTATTTATTCTACTAGAATATAAGACCTCTGTGAACAGGGTCCATAAATAAATGCAGATGAAATAGAATTCCCAAACCCAGTCATGTATGTTCTCTGAACATTTTGTGGACTCTGATCTTCATATGTTTTGTCATCTTGTTCTAACTAGATGTTGATCTAAATACCAGCATATTTAGTTATGCATCAGCACCTACCCATATGTACCTAAGCTGGTGGCAGAGAAACACACAGAGAGCAATGTCTTACATTAAAAAGCACTTTTTCAGCTGGTGCAGTGGCTCATGCCTGTAATCCCAGCACTCTGGGAGGCTGAGGCGGGCAGATTGCCTGAGGTCAGGAGTTCGAGACCAGTCTAGTCAACATGGTGAAACCCCATCTCTACTAAAAATACAAAAAAAATTAGTCGGGTGTGGTGGTGTGAGCCTGTAATCCCAGCTACTCGGGAGGCTGAGGCAGGGGAATTGCTTGAATCAGGGAGGTGGAGATTGCAGTGAGCGGAGATTGCACCACTGCACTCCAGTCTGGGTGACAGAGCGAGACACCATCTCAAAGAAAAAAAAAAAAAAGAAAAGCACTTTTTCCAAAATACTTTTAATATTTCTTGTGATAGGCTCTGAAATCCTCTGAGATTGCCAAGGCAAGTATTCTATGAATGACACAGCAAAGGCCTGAGAGGCTAAGGAAGTTCACAACGCCACCCTGCACGGTCATGGTAGAGACACGAAAGCACGAAGATCTAGAGGCCAATCCTAATGCTTGATCTAATTCTCATAAAGGTTCCTCCAAAGAAATCAAATGCATGTGATCAGAGAATGCACAGCAGTTGGCCACTCACCCTCAGGGTGTGGTGTTCCTGGGTGAGATAAGTGGTCACTTGGGAGTGCAGAGTGACTGTGTCCAGGAACTGGGTCCACAGAGTCATCATGTGGGACGTGAGCCAGGCCAGATCCTTGCTTATCTGCTCAGCGATCTTCTCTGGATTGTTCAACATCTGGAGAGGCAAAAAAGGTGGTATTCAAGGCTCCTGACTCCATGAAGTCAGGAGCAGTCTTCTTCCTGAAGTCTTTACTGACTTTTCTGTTTTCAATAAAGCACTCTCCTTTCTCTGTACATCTGTAGTATTATATATTACAACTCATAGTACTATAGGATCATGTTATCACGTTTGATCTGGAAGCTAAGACAGCAATGGCAACAATAAATTATTGAGGTAGTTCCTATCTATAGAAAAACATCCAAAGCCCTTAGTCTAGCAGGCAAGATTGCCCACTACCTAGTCCCAGTATATCTTTTCCATTTCATTTTACTTTCATGTATGTTCTGAGTACAGCTTACTCTTAGATTTCCATAAACATCTTGCACCTTGAATGTTTTCCCTCGCTCTTCGTTTATCCTGGATATCCCCTTTCAACTTTTCTATCCAAGCCTTCTAATCCCATCACCACAAAACTCAATTCACCCTACTTTTCAATGCCCAGAGCCAACAACACTTGCTTTATGACGTCTTCACAGTTGCCCCAGCTGGAAACCTTTTACTCACATTCTCCCCAAACTCTTCAAGGTACCCCAGATCCATCTACTGGACTCTACTCTGTATCCCATCAAATTCTGGACGCAGTACTTCACAGCAGTTATAACTTCCAATCATCACTATCTCCTATGTGTAAGGTAGAGTACTAGGCATTTGACGGTGCTCCCTATCTAATCCTGCCAGATACCCTTTGGTAGAGTTACTGTGGCCATCCAATTACAGAAAGTGAAATGAAAGTCAGTAAAAGAATGCCCAACCTCACATACAGCAGGGATTCAATGGAAGGGATGTATGACTATGAAGCCACATCACCATGTCACCTTCGCATAGTAAGTGTTTAAAAAACGTCCTGAGAGAAGACAGCATCTCTGTAACCTCAAAGCACCTGAGGACTGAGGCAATTCATGCACGATAGGTGCTCCATAGCTTTTCTCCACCATCCTCCTCACACTACTCCACATTTGTTTTTGTTTTTCTTTTAGTGACAGGGTCTCGCTCTGTCACCCAGGCTGGAGTGCAGTGGTGTGATCATGGCTCACTGCAGCCTCGAATTCCTGGGCTCCAGCAATCCTCCAATCTCAACCTCTGGCTGGGACTACAGGTGCATGCCACTGCACCCAGACAACTTTTTGTAGAGACGGGGTCTCACTGTGTTGCCCAGGCTGGTCTCGAACTCCTGGGCTCAAGTGATCCACCTGCTTCAGAGTGTTGGGATTACACGTATGAGCCATCACACCTGGCTTCACTCCACATTTCTTACGGGAGATTCCTGGTTACATTAACTAAAATGTAGAGGAGTTAGACTAGAAAGGGCCTAGAGGCTTTGGGAGAAGACCCTTTGGACAGAAATGCTTTAGATAGCTACAGTTTAATACCAGGAGAACCATCTTTTGGGGGAGTAACTCGAATTCTGGAGAGGTGAGAAGAGAGGTCACATCTCTGAGGATGGCAGGAAGCCAGTTGCCAAAGCCTGTCACTGACCTCTAAGCTTCCTCACTTATTCAAGCATTTAATCCCAGGCACATGTTTAGAATAAGAGAGAACTCAGAGATGAACAAGAGAGGGTCTCTGTCCGTAGGGAGCTTTGTTCAATGGTGGATATTTCCACTCATTAATGTGAGTTAACAATTAAAAGTGCCGCGGAGCTTTCTACTATGCACAATAGACCAGGGACACACAGCCATAGCCACATCCAATCCCATTCCTTTCTCTTCGTTGCCCTGTGCCTCAGTTTTCCCATCTGTAAAGTGAGTATGCAAAACAAATTACTGCTTTTGGGTGTAAAATATGAGGAGATCCAAGTCCAATGCCTAGCTTGAAATGCTGGAATTTTCTTCTGCTATTCTTAGACTGAAGACTAGTGCTAGATAGAGACCAATTGGGTAAAGTGAGACATCCAAGAGTAAGAAAGAGGGAAGGAGGAGTTTGGCACACAGTAAGGTTCTGTAAATGTTGCATATTTTTGCTTTATCATGGATGACTTGCTTCCAGATACAGAACATCATTCAGCCACAGCATCATCTCTGAGCTACTTCTTCCAAAAGGTAAGATAAGTCTGTGATGATGACACAAGCTATGAAACCCCAAAATGAGGGAATCGCCTGCATTTTCTTCTGATGGAAGCTTTACTTCCAGCACTGGCTCTGGGGCAGGCAGGGGTCAAACAGGGAATGGCCATTCTTGGCCCATTCCCATACATCATGGTCAAAAGTGTTAAGTAAAAACTGGGGCCGGGCATGGTGGCTCATACCTGTAATCCCAGAACTTTGGGAGGCTGAGGCAGGCGGATCACGAGGTCAAGAGAACGAGACCATCCTGGCCGACATGGTAAAACCCTGTCTCTACTAAAAATAAAAAAAAAATAGCCGGGCATGGTGGCAGGTGCCTATAGTCCCAGCTAATCGGGAGGCTGAGGCAGGAGAATTGCTTGAACCTGGGAAGCAGAGGTTGCAGTGAGCCGAGATCGCACCACTACACTCCAGCCTGGAGACAGAGTGAGACTCCGTTTCAAAAAAATAAAGAAGAAAAGAAAAGTAAAAGTTGAATGGGGAATATGGCGGACAGGGTCAGTCATTACAAAACCTCCTGGCTAGAGAGTGAGGCTTTTGGATGAACTGTAAGTGACTTCTATATAGATTCTTGAACCAGTGCCTCTCACTAATAAGACCCAACCTTATGCATCAGCACGTGGCACAACTGCTCCTGAAAATGCCCCCCACCTCACCTCTGCCCACTTCCCATCCTGGCCCAGTGCACTCCCGTTCCCAGCCATACCAACCTGCTGGCAGTGGGCTGCACACACACCTGGTCCTCTCCAATCCCAGGCCCTTGTTCAGGCTGCTGGTCTCCCTGCGCACCTTCCCCCGTCACCTTCCAGTTTCCTTTCTTCTTCTTTTCATCACTATGGACTTGTCTGTCCTCTACCAGGTAACCATTTCAGAAGCCAATTTTGTGTCTCCTTGTTTCTTTTTTTTTTCTCTAAATAATTTCAACTTTTGTTTTAAATTCAGAGAGTCCACACACAGTCCATATTGCTTCTGATGACTCTTCTGAACCTTCTCCAATGCTCCGCGTGTAAGTCTAAGATCCTTCTTGACGTCTACTTGACCTGCACGGGCACCACTCATAGCACCTCCACCCACATGTTGCTGGCTTCACTTCCTACATCCCCTGCATTTTGAGCTTCAGCCTTCTCACTATTCCCAGCCCCAGCACAACAGCTGATAGAGAGTGAGGGTCAGTGACTCTTTACAAAATGAATAGGTGGCTCGGTGTCCGTGGGAGGTGTCCCAGGCCTCCGGAACTCAGACTGCCTCTCCCGGCCTCCTTGTTCCCTCACTCACAGCACCACTACCACGCTGCCACCACAGTGGCACCGGCAAACACAGCACGAATCCTGAGCTCCGCCACCAGAGTGAACAAGAGAAAAAAGAAAAGCTATTCATTAAATGTGTCTTTGGGAGGATTATGTTGCCTCAAGTTGATTATAGAAATGGCTTTAGATAAGGTTAAAGAAGCTTCTAATTAAGCCACAAGAGGACTTTTCTACTCCACAGATGCCCGAGCCTGTGCAATCACAGATGGCGAGCTTGGAAGGGTTTTTTCCAGAGACCGAGGAGGCCCTTTACACTAACAAAGAGGCAGCTGCAGCCCAGAGCTGTCATAGCTGAAACTCCCTGAAAAAAGGCCCTGCCATCCACGCCTGCCACACTTTCACCCTCGTCACCTGGGTGCTAACCAAGCACCTTTGTTCACTCCCCTACTCCCTTGCTCTGCCAACTGAGTGCTGGTTCTGTCCCAGCGGTGTGCCGAGCTCTGGGGAGCCAAACATAAATGCATACAGTCCAGGAAGAGGTGTATGATCGTGTTATAGCTATTTAATTAGATAATTATAATATACTTGTAAACTACTGTGCAAGAGATATATACTGAGTACTGTAGAAAGGTCATGGAAGGCTTCCTGGAGGAGGTGATACTTACATTACATCTTCAAGGTGAATAGACATTAAGTCAAGAGAAGCCTGCTTTACATTCCATGAACAAACCGCGCTCTCTCACTGGTCCTCAATTATGGTTGCCCATCGGAATCACTAGGAGGCTATAAGTCCACCAATGTCTGGGCCCGTCTCAGATTCTCTGAGGGTGTGGCCTAAACATTAAACCTTTGTAAAGTTTTCCCAGGTGATTGTAATGGGCAGCCAGGGTTGCAAACCCCTGCTTGGTCACAACCCCTGCCTTCGTGCATGTCCTCATCTTCATCCAGAATCCCTCCCCAACACCTTGTGTGCATACACACTCAGGCACACACACACCTGCGATGTCCACTCCTGTTTTAGATCTCAGTTCAGTGCCATCCACCCAGGTGCCCTCTCCTACATATACAAGGGGGGTGGGGGGGCGGTCTAAGAATAACAATGGCAACACTGACAATTGAGAGTTACAAGGCACTGTGTGCCAAGAGCTTTGCAGAAATTTTAATGTACTTAATTACTTAATCCTTATAGTAATCCTACCCATAAATCTAATATTATCAGTCTTAATTTATGGATGGAGTAACTAAGGCACTTGAAGGTGGAGCAACATGCCCAAGATTACAGATAGTAAGTGGGAGGCAATGTCTGGACCCAGGAAGTCCAGCTCCAAAGCTCTGTTTAGTTGCCAAGCAATGCAGCCTCTCATTAACCCCTCTACATGCTGTGTAGACCTGCATGCTGGCCCCTGTACCACTGCATGTATTACAACAGCATGCTCACAGGTCTGCTCAACTCGCTTCAATATATATTTGCAGACGACAGGAGGAATCTCCTGCAAACTTTGCATGTATCAGACTCTTTAAACTCACAGGATATACCTGGAGACTTCTGGCATGGGATTCACTTAATACCCCCTTCATTGAGAATTTATTTTTCCTTCCGATGTTCAAGGATTTTTATAACAACAGCATAGCAATAGTTCTGCAAGTGCATCCACTTACATGACTTTGGACCAAGGGTGACGTGGATGAAAGAAAATTCAAGTTGTTCCGGGAGACTTTCTATCAATGAAAAATGAAATCCAACATCTTGTTGAGTTCAGTTTGATAATTACTTTGGGATCTATTCTCTACCTGGTGCTATTTGGAGACACGTTTTGCAGTTTTGCTTCAGCAAATATTTAGCACGCTTAGTATGTTTTCATAACAGCCTCCAAATATAAATAGAACTCAGTCCCTTCTATGCAGGAATTCACGGCTCAGTGGAGCAGGAACAAAGTAACACAAATCCTTAAACTAAACTGAGCCATGGCTGGGATGGAGCAAGGCACCATGAAACACAGGAGCTCACCGGGAGCTCTCAGATCCCAGGATCTCAGATGGTTTCCTGAGAAGTCAGCCTTTGGTTTGGGCTTTGCAGGCTGATGAGGATTGTGTCAGGAATAAAAACAAGGTGAGATGGGATAGCCCGGGCAGAGGCCATAGCTTGCAGAAAGATACTGTTTTTGCCCCCTGAAGGTCTGAAATACAAGGTGTGCAGGAGGGCTGGGGCACCTCAGGGACAGGTGAGAGGAGCATCACATGTCCTTGGCTTTGACTTCCATCCTAAGCAATCAGGCCTTCATCCTGCAGGTGAACAGGAACTAGCAGGAGCTTGTAACCAGGACAGTGAGAGTTGTCCCTGTGTTGGTTTCCATGCTTCCTGCAGCACACTCTGTATGGGAGGATGTGCGACGCAAAAGATGAGTCAGACAAGGGCTCCCCCATACGGGGCCTTGTGGTTACAGAAGAAGTCCCTGTGAAGAGTGATCCTGACATGTGGTGAGGTCTCACTGGGCCCAGAAGCTTTCCCATTCCATGGGACGGGCCATAGGAAGGCAGTCTGGGTATTGCTGCCAAGGCCCCTGGAACCTCTGGAGAGATGCTCTGTGTGCACTGCTGCAGAAAAGACCGGGCAGAGAAGAGTTGAACCCTGTGTCCAGCTTCACGGCATGGCAGAGGGGGACCAGGAGACAGCTATGTGCCTGCTGGATGTCCACCTAAAGGGCGACCCCCAGTGAAGGTTTAGAGTTCAAACACACACTATTCAAACCGCCATACACGATATCCCAGCTGCACCATCATCTCCAGGGAACTAGTGGGAATTGCAGAATCTCTTGCCCCACCTCAGCTCAAAAGAATCAGAATGCACATTTTAACAAGATCCCCAGGTAATTCATGTGCACATTAAAGTGTGAGAAGTTCTAAAATTGGAAAGAGAAATTGGTTTTTCTCAAACCAGCTGCCTCCAGCTGAGCTTGGTGTTCTGGGCTGCCCTGGGCAGGCTCTCAATAAGCTCAGAGTCGCCCTCTAGAGTTAGTGCTGTGAAGTCCTAGCGCCAGGAATTCCCTGACCTGCGGGACAGGGAAAGGAGAGGTAACAGTGACCACAGTGGACAGCCAGTCCCCAAAGCTTTAGTTTCCCCACTAGGAATCAGGCCTAATAAAACCTACATCACAGCATCAAAACGAGGACCCATGGAGCACACATGTAACATACTAATCAATGGGACCAGTGCAGACTAGGTGCTCAGTTTCTAGGAATGGCTTTCCTTCACTCATTGTTGGAAGGTAGATAGTGTCCCGGAGTGCCTCTTATGCTCTTTACCCCCTTGAATTTGAGATCAGCTCCTTCACAGCAGAAACTCGAGAAGCCACTGGGCCTCATGGGATCTGAGTGTCCTCTAGAATCACGGACTTCAAAAGGATGTTAAATGAAACAATGCATTTAAAGACCCTCTGACAAGAGGACTGGTCAAAGCAAACAAACAAATGAAAGAAACAAACCCCAAATACGCAATCTCCGCCACTCCCCAAAACCAACAAAACAGGCTGCCCACAGTCAGAAGCTGCTCACTGATGCTTAGTAACTGTACTTATCATTAGTAGTCCCTGCTAGGAGGGTATAGCTCTGGGAAAGACTACGTGACAATTTGGGATCTCCCAGAAGTTTACTGGGGGGCAACCAGGGAATTCTCTTGTGTTATAGAAAACCTCCGTTGCTGTATTATAACAAATTAAACAACAACAGCAACATTGCTCTCCAGTTGATACTCAGCATGTGTTGAACTTGTTTGTACCAAAGCACATGTCTGAGTTTCATTAGAACCTGCAGGTCCTCTGTGAGGAGTACACCCCACTTCCTAATCAGGCTTCACAGCAGGGGTCTTCACCAACTGCTCCAACTCCCCTCTCCAGCCTGCCCTGCATCCCCACCTGAGCTCCACCTAGGTGGGACCCAAGTACCCACGCTGCTTCAGTCTGGTGGGCCCTTACCCTGGGCTTTGCACGGCTGTTCCCTCTGCCCTGAGGGTCCTTCCCTGACTGGTGTCTGACACCCCCCACTCCTTCAGGGCAATGTCCCAGGCTCCATGCCGGCCTCCCCAGGCAAGATAAGGTGCCCGCTCCTCCTTGCTCCTGCAGCCCCTCACCTCTCGCTCCCTGGTTCCAGTACTGACCACATCAGCAGGGTCCACCTTATCTGTGAACAAATCTATTTCTCATTGAGCTGCAAGTAAGTCCTGCTTGGTATCTTCCATCTTTGTATAACCAATGAATAGTCCAGTGGTCAGCACACAGTAGATGCTAAGTAAACATTTATAAGAATTGTATGGAGTAAAGATTCATCCACATCACTCCATTACTGCAGAGCTCTATGTCTTCAAATTGCTTTAAATCGCCCAAAACACCTTCCCACCCCCACCACTGGCAGGAGTGGGGGAGACCAGGAGCTGGCGATGCTCTACCTCTAAACAGTGCTGCTGACTTAGCTTGCTCTTCAGGGATTTTTGGGAAGCGGGTGTTGTTTCTTCCATTGCAATGACCGGCCAATTCTTTACCAAACCAAGGAGTAGGCGGAAGCACACCCCCATACACCCTTTCCACCCTCTTCATCCAGCCACATCCGTGCAGCAGTTGGCTAATTTAGTTGCTTTGTATAAAGTAAAGCCTGTGGCAATGCAGTCACTCAAAACCAAGAGCCGGTAGTCCTGCAGCTTGGGGCACCGCCCTAGAAGAGGAAGGCAATTAGTTGACCTCTCATAAAATATACTTGATCAAGTCATTGGCAGCCTGCGTCCTAACCCCTGAATCTCCCACTAGAACCATTGTGGGAAACAGACAAGATAGCACTGCAATGGAATACAGGTGGCCTTGTGTTTAGGCCCTGGGCCCACCCCTTGGTGATTCGTGGACTTTAAGGAAGCCACATTTCTCTGTGTCCATTTAAAGCAAAATGACTGGGGATACTTGAGTACCTCCCTCCTTGTACTCCCAGGGCTGCAGCAAGGATAGAGCCTGGTGAACCATGGGCAGGGAGCCAGCATTCCCTAGGCCAGGTATGTTGGTATTGTCATTGTTGCAGTGACTGCAGTTAACCTTAATCATCAGTTCCTGCCTCAAGATTCACTCCCTTTCCTTGTATGGTATTGTGATGGAAGGAAATTAAAATTTCTTACTCCCAAACATATTTCTTTGACATGTTTTGAAAAGGCTGCTGCTTGGCCACCAGGCAGAAGTGATCTTGCAAAACTGCCTTAAGTGGGAAAAATTCGTATCTGCAGAGAACCTCTAATAATGAAGCCAGGCTCCCTCCCTTTTTCATGCCTTTCCCAAGATCCAGGAGGGATGGAGAGTTCCACACCTTTAAAAGTCTGAAAATGAACATGTGCCACCTATTCTCTGTGAGAGAGACTTCATCTACACAACAAGGCCACCTTGGCTGGCCAAGCCTCTTCTCTCCCTCCCATAACCTGGTTTGCCAGAATCTAAGCCCCCATCTTTCTGTAACCTTAAGGTGGTGTGTAAGTTTCTGTAACTCACTGGGAAATTGGGTCTTTAGGGGCCAAGAGCCTCTAGCCCCCATATGATATATATACATACACATACATACATATCTCTCTCCACAGTTTCTGTCACAGAGCTTCTATTAATAAAACCCTTGACATTTCTGAAGTCATAGGAACATCTTTTGTTATTCATAAATTCCTTTCAAACATATGCTAATTGAGCCTGTGCCAATGAGGTGACTCTTGACAGACCTTTAGATAGCTTTAGGGTAGAGGCTGTTTGCCAGAAAGACCAATCCATGATTGGAGAGTTGGGACTTTGAGCCCGGCCCCGATCTCTGGAGAAAGGAGAGGGGCTGGGGACTGAGCTAATCAACAATGGCCAATGATTTAATCAATTGTGTCTAATATCAGGGAACCTCCATAAAACCTTTAAGGGATGGGTCTTAGAGAGGTTCTGGGTTAGTGAATGCCTTCACCTGCTAGGAGGATGGTGTACAGGTGAGGACACTCACCTGCTAGGAGGATGGTGTACAGCTGAGGACGCCTTCAACTGCTAGGAGGAGCTCTACAGGTGAGAGGTCTCTGCACTTGGGTTCCTTGCAAACCTCGCCCTGTGGAACTCTTCATCTGGCTGTGCATCAGCACTCTTTGCAATATTCTTTATCATAGAACAGGTATAGTAAGAAAAGGGCTTCCTGAGTTCTCTGAGCCATTCACCAAATTATTAACCTAGAGGAGGGCATCATAGGAATCCCTGATGTAAAGCTGATTGGTCAGAAGTACTGCAGGCCCAGGACTCACAACCTGCACCTCAAGTGAGGCCTGTCTTATGGGGCTGCACCCCTAACCAGTGGGATCTAATGCTGAACCCAGGTAGACAGGATTGAGTTTGAATTGGATCACTGGACATCCAGCTCATGTCAGAGAGTTGGCAAGGTTGTTGGTGTGAGGAAAGCCTCCACGCATTTGGTGTCAAAGTGTCTGTGGATACAGACAAATCCTAGTAGTTCCTTTCTCTACACAGCTTGTCAGCCTCCTTCCTCATGGCTCTCTGTGACTTGGGAATGTGTTTCAGCTCCGTGGTGCCTGGGGCACACAGGCCTGTTCACTATAAGCCTGGGATCTCTCCACAGAGCCTCAGTCATCCCATGCCCTGCCTTCCTGCAGCCCTGCCCACTGTTCCACAAGCACAGCCTTGCACCTCACGCCTTGCTGCTTCCAGGTTCCATCTACCGCCTTTGTGCAAACAGAAGAGAGGCTCCGTATTCTCTCCAGGCTTGGCTGCAACCTAGCCTCCTCTCTCAGGTCCACTGGAGTCAGCCTTTTCCTGGGTAGACTTAGTGACACATCAACCTGGGATCCCTCTACCACATACTGACAGGGACAGGAGACAGGAAAATTCTGGGCAGAAGAGGGAAGGTCCTGGCAAGGGCCCCACCCTCAGTCCTGGAACTGCTGCCCAAAGTAAGAACATGCATTTCTGTTTTCCTGCTTGAATGTTGCCTTATTCAAAACCATCCATGGCCTGCCCCACCCCCCATCCTATGCCCATAAAAACCAACAGGCTATACCAACAGAGAGAGGAGAAGAGGAGAAGCAGCTGGATGCCTCCCCAGAGACTATGGTTGCACGCTGGAGAGAAGCAGCTTGACTTCAGAAGGATGGCTTGACAGCGTTGCTTCGCAGAGGCATCTGGCTGGGGATGGCCAAACCCTGAGGGAAGATTATCTTCCCGCTCCATGCCCTTTCCAGCTCCCCTTCCCACTGAGAGCCACTTTCATCAGCAATGCAAGCCTCCGCATTCACCACTCTTCAATTCATTCACCATCCTTCAATCACTTCAACCTCATTTTTCCTGGATGCCAAACAAGAGCTCGCGTACCACAGGTGTGGATGCAAAAGGCTGTTTTACCGTCTGCCCTCATTGGCGGAAAGCAACCACCTCATGCGAAAAAGTGTTAACTGAGCTGTTAACACTTAAGCCATCCGCACATGGCAAAGCTAAAAGAGCACTGACTGTAACACTCCTTCTGGGACTTTGGGGGTCATGGGTACTCCCCTCTAGATGCTGCTGTGAGGCCCACATGGACTTTTGCCCCTCTGAGCATCCCAAAGTACTCACCCCAGCTCCTGTACCTGCTCACCTCCTGTGAGGGGTTGAGCTCAATGGGTTTGAGTGAGTGGAGTTTGCCCCTGCTGGTGCAGAAGCAGCCAGCTAGCTCCAGTGCCTACGCTCCAGTTCCTGCCCACGAAGGGGTTAGGGAAAATTTCCTGCTTCAATACGGTACCTGTATCCATTGTGGAGTCCTAATAAGATAAGTCAGCAACAACAAGGAAGGGGTCCCAGATGCGGGAGAACAATTGTTTTGAGACATGGCTAATCACAGACAACCTGCTGGCACAACATCTTTTCCCAAATACCTTGTTCTGCATATAGCCCCAGCAGCACAACCTTATCTGCATGGAGCCCTTCCAGCATGGCCCTTTTAAACTTCCCTCCAGTCTCTGACTCTTTGCAGACAGCCCCTCGTCTGCTCCGCTGCCTGTGGTACCCTTGCAACTTATCTTCATACCTTCGTACTTTAATAAACCTGCCTTTCTTTACCTATGACTGTCTTGGTAAATTCTCTTAGCACCTGCAATGCCAGCCCCAGCCAATTACACCTGCAATGGCCACATCCACAACCCTCACCACTGTAGATCAAAAATAAAATTCTAAGCCCCCAAACTTACTGAATGAACCCCTCCTCTTGGTCAGGGGCATTCAGATGCAAACCTGAAGCACTAGTCAGGCCATGATAGGAATGGTTGGCTGGACATGCCTCAGTATACCTTCCTCCCTTTGGAATTCAGGCACAGCTGACCAGCAAATTATAATGTTAAAACAGAGGGCTTAAGACTGACAAAACAGACTCCTTGTAGCAAGAAAATACCAACACAACAGACAGCAGGCCCTTGAAAGAAACTGAAGTATTTTACCCTAAGATATAGTTATTTAACATATTTTGGAAGAACCCTGCAAAGCTGCGTCTTTAAGCGAAAATCTACATTGTATAGAGAATCTCCTTCCCTTTATGTTTTTGTTGTAGTTGTTGTTGTTTTTCTGATGTGGAAGAGAATTAACTAAGAGTCTGGCACCTTTTTAAGTCTTACAAGAAACATTTACCATCTATTCTCTCTGAAGCCTGCTATCTAAAGACCTTCATCTGCGTAATAAGAACTTGGTCTTCACCACCCCTTATCTTAACCCAGACTCCCTTGTATTGATTCCAGGTCTTTAGATAACCTCTTTCAACCTATTGCCAATCAGAAAATCTTTGAATCTACCTATGATCTGGAAGCCTTGCTCCCCCAGCTTTGAGTTGCCCCACCTTTTTGGACCAAACCAATGCAGATCTTACATGTACTGACTGATGTCTTATGTCTCCCTAAACTGCAAAAAACCAAGCTATAGCCTGACCACCTTGGGCACGTGTTCTCAGGATCTTCTGGGGCTGTGTCATGAGCCATGGTCACTCATATTTGGCTCAGAATAAATCTCCTCTAATATTTTATGGAGTTTGACTCTCTTCATCAACACCAGGCCCATGGAATAGGAGAACAATGTCAAGGACAGCAGTGACACTGGTGGCGGCATTTTGCCCCAAGCTCTGTTCTGAGCACTGTGCACCTGTGACCCCACTTCATTCTCCTATGGCCTGCCCAATGCTGGACAGCCAGCTGGCTGATTCAGGACTGTGCCCTGCAGTCTGGGCAGAAGCCTTCACCCACTACTTTTGAGGTGACACATAACGCAGGACAATACCACACACTGGTCCATTGGATCAGTAAATGAACATATTGAGTCCAAGCTCCTTTTGTAGATGGGCCAATAGCCTCAAGGGTATGACATTAGTGGCTCCAGGGTCAGTCATTTCCTCACCTTTTCTACTGTCCATCCATTCATTCTAGCATTTATTCGGAGCTTCTAGGTGCCAGGAGCCCTTCTAAGCAGTAGAAGTTCCAGAGTGAACAAATCACCTCCCTAGGCTATGTGCTGCATGAGCAAGGGGTCACCACTGAGTCCCCATGGTTGAGACCTGAAGAACACCGGATCTGGGAAGCACTGGGGGCTTGGGAAATGTTTGTGAAATTAATAAAAATTCTCATGGGCCAAAAGATGAATGGCAGTCGTTCCCAGGAAAACGTTGATCCTTTTTGCCACGAAGACAAAAGGAACCTGGACATTTAACCATATTCCCTGCCAAAGGCATGAGTATCACCAAACTCTACTTTATGACCACAAAAAATGACAAGCCAAAGCCCCCATCATTTGATAAATACTTGCACCAGACATGATGGTTTGCATTTTCTGCATTTACTGCACAGGGCCAGACCTCATGGACTTCATCTCTATTCCCTGCACCGATGCTGCCTCCTGGGCTTGCATCACACTGGGGAGGGCTCAGCGTCACAGGGACCAGCAGCCTCACCCTGTTCTGCTTGCCGGCACTGTGGCTTTAGTCAGGGTGTGAGTCAAGCCCTGTTTCTTCGTCCACTGAACAGAATGTGATGGCTTATCTTATAGAATTGTTTTATCAATTGCATGAGAAAATCCACACAATGTAGCCAGGCAACTAGCCAATGTGCCAGCTTACTGGCTAAGAGAAAAAGGCATCAATGAAACCACCATTGCAAAATTATAACTGAGATGGTGAAAGAGACCTGAACTAACCACTTCCTTCTTGATTCTAACCTCCAAGCTGTCCTTGTTCATTCCTGGGCATAGGCCATACTACCTTTAGGAGGAACTTGCTTTACAGTTTGAAACAAAGATAGCAGCGCTTTCCCAACACAAACCCCCTTCTTGCCTGGTGAACTAGACTGCCTTTGTAAGACTATCAAATTAGCCAAAATCTTCGAAATGATGGCTTAGGAGTCATGCAGCTGGAGGCTACAAGATTCTGACCCTCCTCAAATTGCTTCTGTGGAATAATATCACTATTGTAAAACCTAAGATCAGTGCTCGAGATATTTGCAGACCCTGCACTTGACGGATCAGTTGGTATCACCCAGATTGATAAACTCGCTCATCTGGTCTTGTGGCCCTCACCCAGGAACAGACTCAGCGCAAGAGGACAGTTGGACTCATCGCCAACCCAACCAATCAGCACTCCTGACTCACTGGCCCCTACTCAGCAAATTATTCTTAAAAACTCAGATCCCCAAATGCCTGGGGAGACTGATTTGAGTAACAATAAAACTCAGGGCTTCTGTACAGCTGGCTCTGCATGAATTACTCTTTCTCTATTGCTATCCCCGTCTTGCTAAATGAGCTCTGTCTAGGCAGTGGGTAAAATGAACCCATTGGGTGGTTGTATCGGTGAAAACAGATTCATTTTTATCCCCATTTACAGATAAGAACATCGAGGTTCATAAAGATTAAGCAACTTGCCTAAAGTCACACAGTGAGTAGGTAGAGAATTCAAAGCCATGTCTCCCTGGCTCCGACGTGCATAATCTTTGCAATACAGGATTCTCCATCACTACCACCCACTAGCCACCACCCACCACCACGTGACGTATAAGGAGAAAACAGGCAGTGGTCCCTGCCTGCCCTCACGACCGCACAGCTGGGGCTCTGGAGGCAGAAGGCCTGCTGCATGTGAGCACCGATTCCTCCCACCACTTACCAGATGACTTTGGACAAATGCTTTGGTAATGGTGAAATCTCAGGGGCTATAGAAAGATTAAAGGGGATTATACTGACAAGCACTTAGAACTGTGCCAGGCTGAGAATCCCTGCTGATTAAATATAAGTCGGTGATGCTGGTGCTATGGTGATCCCGGACTAGGGAAGAGAGACTCCTGGAAACCTGAACATAACAGGCACAGAAAACAACACGGAGAACCTGCAGGCCACACCCAGAAGGAAAGAGAGTGGGCGTATTGACAAATAGTCACGAATCAGCTCTTCAGCCTGATCTCGTGATGGGAAATGGAAAAGCCGAGTTGGAAAGCTGCCTGTTCCTGTGTTCCTTGTTGTTGTTTCAATTGCTAAAACTAAATTTCTGATAATTTACAGAGTAAAGCAGTTTCCCCTTGGGATGCTGAGCTGCACCTCCACAGGTACGTGGCTCCGGCCAGGCCCTCAGGGGATGGAGCCTGAGGCAGCCCGAGCCAGCCCTGGAAGGAGAGGCCATCTCACCAGAGAAGAGCAGACCCCATGAGCAGAGCACTTAGGAGGGTCCTTGCGTGAGCTCTCTAGCGGTCCCCTCAGAACAAACCTACTATGTAGATGAGGAATCCCAGGCCCCAGAGGGTGAGCCCATTGTCTCAGGTCCCACAGCTGCTCCAAGGAGAAGCTCAGAGCCTGGATTTAAACCCACGCCAGCATGGCTTTGACGCTTCTGGCCCCTGCCTAACACAGTGGCTGCCTTGAGGCTCACTCGGGGAAGGATGAGAGCTGTAGCCATCTAGAGCCCAGGGCCTCCTGTCTACCCAGCTGCCCGCTCATCCACACACCGTCAATGCTGCAGCAGAGTCGGAGCATATGAGCCCCCAAGTGTGGACATTAGGCCTTTGACTCGTCTCAGTGGCCTTTACACACTCTCTAAATGGACTCCTGTGTTGCCCTCCTACAGTCTGCTGGCCCTGCATTTTTGATAATCAGTGCTTGGCATGTGTTTCCCTGTTATCGCTACAAGCCAAGTCCCACCCCTTCTCCCAGGCTGCCGTCCAACAGCCCCTCCCCAAAGGCCCTCCAGCTCTAGGCTCCCAACACCCTCCTCTGTCTCTGCCTCCGCATTCCGCCCTCTCCAGGGATCTCCTCTGCATTCACTGTGAGACTGGATTTTACTAACTTTGTAACATGCCCTAAAGCAGGGGTGCTCAACCCTGGCTGCACATAATATTCATCTGGGGAGCTTTGAATAAAAACACAGTATCTGAACTCCAATCCCAGATACTCTGTTTCAGCCAGTTTGTATGCCCAGGCTCAGGCAAAGATGCATCATTAAAGTTCCAAGGATGATTCTAATGTACAGACAAAGTTGAGAAACACTGGTTTAACAGACAGAGGTGTCAGTTTGGGGGATGAGACTTTGAGTCCTGCTTCTAGTACTGATTAGCTGTGTTAGTCACCCTGGTATAGACTTCTTTCCAATCTTGATTTGCCTCTTCTTCATAGAGAAATAAGAGTACCCACCCAGATATCTAACACAAGGGGGATGTAAAAGTGTTCCAGAGATTGTAAATAGCAGCAGCATGCATTTGTCAAATATTTATTCAGCCTTTACTCTTAATGCACGCTTGATGAGGCTTTGTTGGCAAATGCATGTGACTGTTTTCATGATCATCACTGACTCTAGCCTCCCTGCCATGTCTGAGGCCATCTGTGCACAGGTACAAGATTCTGTCATCCACAGTGAGAAGCACTGAGTTAACCAGTCAACAAACGTTTGTTCAATGGATGGGTAATGGACAAATACATATGTGTAGCCTAAGCTTCGGGGAAACAAAAATCTGTTAACATGTTTAGTTTTTCCAAAATATCTAGCAAGGCACATACTTATAGAACACAGTGATGTAGGGTAACAGAATGTAAGAATATTTCTCCAGCTTGGTATCTAGAGTGAAGTTACAAGTGGTGTCTTTTCACTTCTGTTTTTTACAGCAAGCAAGCAACTGCATTTGCCTTGCAAAACTACTGCCATTCATTCAGACCCCAGCGCCAGTTCTCCAATTACCTGTAGCTCTGAGCACAGCTGAGAAAGTGTTTCTTCAACAGCAAGGGCCTCTAGAAAGAAAAAATAAACTGTGTGATTAAATGAACCCACACTGAAATGCAGCAGTTGCTAATTAAATGAAAAAGCAAAAGTTTCACATTGGCATTAACGTCACAGAGACAAACACATTGCTGAGGACCTTCTACCTATTCTAACTTCCTAAAGGGACTGTGCTTATCAGGAGAATGAACCTGATTGGAGCCATGGACTGGACTGAGCACTAGATAAAAGCCAATATCACCTCATGCACACGGTTATGAGAAGCAGTACATCCCAAATTCATACAGCACTTTGTGTGGCCCAGAGAGATTCCACGTTTATTTCTGTTTTTGCAGGTACACACACACACACACACACACACAAACACACACACACACAGGTATACATCTGTGCATCATATATGGAAGATGGATTTGAATCTCTATCTTACAGATAAAATATCAGAAGCCCTGAGAACCTCCTGCTCAGCTCCACCAGCTCTGATACTGAAGAATGTGGCCATCTTATCAGCAGAAACCAGGTGGCCTCTGGCTATTTGTTTTAATGGTCACAGTTGTGACTGGGTTTGAACTTTCCTCTGGTTCCATGATGCTGTGGTCAGTCATTTGCACACGGCTCTGGCATGGATTTTAATTAAAGCATGCTTGCCTAGCTGAGTGGAAACAATCCCTTAGCAGCTTACGGTCCTTGCTGATGACCTAATTAGTAGACACCTCTCTACTTCACCGCTGACCTCAGGTCCCTGAACCCCGCAAGGCAAAATGAACTATTGATACATTAGTCACGGCTATGTATCCTCAGTGTCTAGCACAATATCTGACACATAGTACATGTCCAGTAAAATATGATGAGGGTGTGAATGAACAAATAAATTCAGCTCCTTTGGATAAAATATAATATAAAAAGTTGTATCAGGAATCCAACTGCTACTGAAAAATCTCCATTTTTCATTTGAGCTATATAAAGTCACTCTGATTCTGTGCAGGTCATTCCTGCATGCATAAGATTTGAACTTGAAAAAATTCAGTGATTGCATGATTCAAAGAGTAGTGCCTGAGTACAGGATTTGTATATGATGTGAGAGCTGACAAAGCTTATAGTAAGAAGGCTCCAGATTCAATTCAACAACTATAACCCTGTACCTACTCCTTTACTCTACATACCGGAGAGAGTGTGGCAGGGATCTGAGGGGAATCAGCTCTTAAAGACCTCAGTCTATTTGGGAAGCAAAACATGCAAATAAATTTTTTACGTGATGATTTCAGTGCAGCAATGAACAATGAACAAGGCCATTGACCCAGTCAAAACCACAGTTATCTCAGCAGTTGAGGTCTAGGGGTACATATAGGGAAGTCAATGTACCCAGCAGGGTTCTAATGTTGAAATGGGTGTTATCGTTGAAAAGCAAGCTGGGGACTTCGCCTCTGTTCTAGAGTCAATGAGGCCTTATTAGAGAACTTTGAGCAGAGCCAGAACATATCACCTATTTTTACTGAGTGGGACATGACACAAAGGACCCTGCCCCAAGGCATCAGCACAGGATCCCTGAGCTGTCATGGTTCTGCCACACATTACTGTGTGATGCTGAGCAACGCTTTTACCTCTCTGAGCTTCAGGTCCATCGTCTGTCAATCAACAGAGATTCAAGCCCACTGATTTCCATGATGTCTCATCTTTGGAAAATCCATGTGCAAAAATCAACTGATCCCCAGATAACCAAATGTAATGGATACTAAGAAGTTTCTATAATCATCCAGCTCAAGCATATATGTATGCATATGTGTGTGTGTGTGTGTGTGTGTGTGTGTGTGTGTGTGTGTGTATATATATAGTTTTTATGAGGATTGTTTTACACTCTTGTAAGTTACAATTCCATAATTACAGCTTAATTAAGAAAAGGCTATAAACCAGCATTTTCCTCTAGAAAGCAACCTAAAATTATGCAGTGGAGTGGCAGGTGTGTAATAGGTACTCAATAGATGTCTGGCAGATGAATGCATGAGTGAATGAATGTGCCTTGAGGAACATGTGTCTTCTCTTACTGCATTTGCATTTCCCAGATCCTCTCCTGGTAGAATAATAAAAATCACAGCCCAAACCTACCTGGACCAGGGTTATTCCTGTGACATTTACAAAAGCATGCCAGCTTTTCCCCATCCCTTGTGTGGAGGAGGCACATGAGCTGCTGGGATGGGCTTGCCCCTGTCCTGGGCCCTTACCCAGCTCCGTGTGTGGCAGCTCTGGGATGTCCCGCATGATCACCAGGAAGTGGAGACGGAGACCCCGGTAAGCGTGGAGGAGCAACAGGCACAGGTCTCGGTGCCACTTGTGTGCGTGCTGCATGCAGTTCTCAGAGGTGATGTAGAAGCTTCCCTAAGGGGTGAAACAGAAACAGAGGCTGAGGAATATTGCACCTGGCCCAGGCAGCACAGGGCTGTGATGCTCCATCCACCCGCACCAACATTCACAAAATGTTTGGAGGTTCAGGGAAGGAAGCAGACCCCATCCTGAGTAAAACTGGAACATGGTTGAAGATTCCAGGAAAAAGAGAGTCCTGAGCTGGAATTGCTTCTTTATCCCTCCAGGCAAGACAACACTGAAATCTGCCACACCTTTGTCTTATATTCAAATTAAAATAATAAAATAGCAACAATAATAACGAATGATCATGAAGGTGATGAGGACATTGGCCTCACAGGTTTGAGACAATCGAGTGGCCCCACTTACAAGCTGATATGGTTTGGCTCTGTGTTCCCACCCAAGTCTCACCTTGAATTGTAATAATCTCCACATGTCATGGGAGGGACCCAGTGGGAGGTAATTGAATCACGGGGGCGGGGTTTTTCCATGCTGTTCTCATGATAGTGAATAAGTCTTATGAGATCTGATGGTTTTATAAAGGGCAGTTCCCCTGCACATGCTCTCTTGCCTGCCACCATGTAAGACATGACTTTGCTCATCCTTCACCTTCTACCATGATTGTGAAGGCTCCCTAGCCATGTGGAACTGTGAGTCCATTAAACCTCTTTCCTTTATAAATTACCCAGCCTTGGGTATGTCTTTATTAGCAGCCTGAGAATGGACTAATACACAAACCTTCTTTCCCCACTACTGCAGGGTGCACTATAGAGGCCATGGGACAGGTGGCTGTGGGCTCCTTTGCAGAGAGAAGAAATTTAGAAAGACCCTTGTAGCAGGTGGGTGAGCAGTAGGTCGTGCTGAAAAGGAGGAAAAGAAAGTGTCATCGTAATGTAGAAAGAAGTTGTGAGGTTAAGTAACCAATGCTGAAAGCACACCTGTAAACAGCTCTGCATGTGAGCATGCAGTGTCAGAACACTGTACATTATATTTTGTTTGTAGAAATAGAATGGATTAAACTGGTACAATTACAAAGTAATTTGTCCAATGAGGAAAAGACACCTAAGTCTACAGTGCACTTGGAGACCTAGGCATGATGAAAAGGAAGGAACAGGACAGTTTTTTTCTTGCCAACTCAACAGAGAAGGATGTCCTGAGGTGAATTTCAAAGAGATTTGTTCTTAGAGCAGAGAAAGGAATCGTGTGGGAAAAGGCCTGGGCACAGAGATGGGAGTCCTTGAGTAGTATGCTCGTGCCCATCTACTGTTCACATGGCCGTGACGGGAGGAGGCCGTGGCTCTTCATGTTCCCAGGCCACCTTGTCTGCCTGCTGGAAGAAACGCCAGGTGAGGAATTGGTGGCATTTCACCCTTGGCTTTTGCGAGTGAGTCTGCACAGCCAATGACTGGAGATCCTTCTGCCTTGCTTGGTCTCCTTTCTCCTAGCTGCCATCCAAGAGGGCTGAGTTGATCCAATGTGGGTGGGCAAGTCTCCTGGAGTCGACACACGTCTGTACATCATCTGCACTCCCAAGGGTGTTGTATAGGCAGATAATGACGGGCACTATTATACCCTCTCTAACCACCGTACCACAATGATTGTCATGTGTGATGCAGGGTGCTACCAATTTGAAAACTTGGATAGAAGTCTCAGGCCTGCTGCCATATACCTCTGAGACTGTCTTAGGTGAGAGACTATGAGAAACCAGGAGAGGGTCACTGGGTTGTGCTCTCAGGAGCAATATCTGTGCAGCTGTAAAGCAGGATGGGTGGAGGAACTGCATTGCATTGTCCTGCAGGTACAACGGAGACCTCAGCTGATGCCATGGGGAGTGCTGGGCCTGCAGAGTTACCCGGCCTTGGGGCAAGGACCAGGTCTCTGTACCCATTCACTGGTCAGTACTTGGTGTGGGTTACCCTATGTATTAGTTCGTTTTCACAGTGCTATAAAGAAATACGTGAGACTGGGTAATTTATAAAGGAAAGGCGTTTAATTGACTCACAGGTCTCCATAGCTGGGGAGGCCTCAGGAAACTTACAGTCATGAAGGAAGGGGAAGCAGGCACATATTACATGGCATGAGGAGAGAGAAATGCAAAGAAGGAACTTCCAAACACTTCTAAAACCATAAGATCTCATGAGAACTCACTATCATGAGAACAGCAGAGGGGGAAACTGCCCCAATGATCCAATCACCTCCTCCCTCGACATGTGGGGATTACAGGTTCTTCCCTTGACACATGGGGATTACAGTTCGAGATCAGATGTGGGTTGGGACACAGAGCCAAACCCTATCACCCTAGCAGGGAAGTGTAACCTTGCGGGAGCAGCTCTCTCCAGACAGGGCAGTCTCCATACTTAGCCAATTGCTGTGGACCACCAACATTCCCAGTAGTGTGAGGAATGAATGGCTCAGGTCTGAAGGTAGGGCTGGACATCACACCACAGAGTACAGGGAAGAGACCCTCTGTAGAACTTTACCCTCCATGGCTTGCATTTCTCAGCTCTGAAGTCTGGCCTTGGATTAAAAGCTTGTCAAATTCTTTCTGATTTGAACTTAAGACATTCAGCAACGTTTGAAATCAGAAGACTTGTCCATTTTGGAACCAGAAAACTCAACCAACTGCCCTGTCTGTGCTCACCAGGCATTCAGGGTAACCCATATATTCACATTTCTACAACTTTCCTATTATATTAAGGTTTAATACAGAGAAGCCAGTATGGCTGTAGAAAGTCTAGGAGGGCTTGTATGCAGCACGGAGCACATCAGACCAGTTAGATCTGTGGAGCAGGAAGGAAGCCACTGCTTAATGAAGCATCTAGATAGTCCTATTGTACTTTATCTCTTTTGATCTTCAGCAAGTACCATGAAAGGCCGATACTCTTATTTTGATTTTCAAAATAGAATATAAATACGGTGAAACAAACAAAACCCCATCAATATCATCAAAGTAAACACAACATGAAGTGTCCCATTCCCCCCAGCCTAATAATTTTTTTCTTGTAGATTCTTCTGGAATACTACCCATCTATGCTTTTGTATATGTATACACGCTTGCTATATGTGTGTATGTCTTGAAAACATGCACTGACACACTTATAAGTTGGAGAATGCTCTGGACATTTCTCTGTTCCTTGCTTTTATCACCAAATATTGGAATTCTTTCTGATTAGATCAAACAATAATAATAGAAATTCTTATTTCCATTTCATAGATCAAAAGACTATGGCTCAAAGAACTGAGTGACATGTGCAAGGTCACTCTGCTTGCCAGCAGCAGAAATTTTGTTTCTCAGGATTCAGGGCTGATGCGAGCTTGTCCTTTCTCAGCATGCCACACCTGCCTCTGAAACCAGGCCTGGCAGAGAGCACATGCTAGACAAAGCTCCGCTTGCTTTGACTGAGGCATTCAAGTCCTGCAGTGTCTCTGACAGCTGTGACTAAGCAGAAATGAAAGCAGAAAGGGGATTAACAAAGGCACCAAATACAGTAGTCATGAATCCCCAGCTGACTTCAAGCGGTCCTTAGAATCCCATTTTCAGGTCCCGCTACCTGCCACTGTCTCACCACCTTGGTCTCATTCTGCAAAGCTTCAGGACACATTAAAGGTAGCAAGGAATCTATGAAGTCTCTTATCAAGTTTGACTTTTAAAACTAGATGCCAATGTCATAGAGATTTTTCAAGGGACACTTTAAGAAAACTTTGGGGAATCGTCGCAAGGCTGATTCAGCATGATTATTGAAATAATAATAAGTCAAAATGCTAATCCAAAGAGAAATCCTGAAAAAAAAATATACGGCTAGAGAGTATTATAAACTAAACAAAACAAAAAAACTTCCATTCTTCATAAATTGCTCAGCAGCACGACTTTTTGAAGCTGTGCGATATACTGCAGAAAATCCCATTAGTCAGTCGGGCAGACCTGCAGAGTCGGTGTCAGAGTGGACGGGCCAGTGTGCCTCCATTAGAATTGCATGAAGAGCATTGAAAAACCCTGCGCCATTTTCCCTAGCACAAAGCAGTAACATTTTAGCAACACTCTTCAGCAATCTGAAATGAAACCCCTAAATAATAAAACGAGAATCAAGCAGGCAGGCAGATCATTACATTGTGAATGAACTGGCAAATAGAAGGTCCCTGGCCTGGGCCTACCCCACAACAGAAGCAGGACAAAAAATAGGCACCTCTCCACTGAGTGCAGTGGCTCAGGCCTGTAATCCCAGCACTTTGGGAGGCCGAGGCGGGCAGATCACAGGAGGTCGGGAGTTCGAGACCAGCCTTACCAACATGGAGAAACTCCCTCTCTGCTAAAAATGCAAAATTAGTCAGGCGTGGTGGCACATGCCTGTAATCCCAGCTACTCAGGAGGCTGAGGCAGGAGAATCGCTTGAACCTGAGAGGTGGAGGTTGCGGTGAGCAAAGATCACGCCATTGCACTCCAGCCTGGGCAACAAGAATGAAACTCTGTCTCAAAAAAAAAAAAAAAGGCACCTCTCCCCTTCTGAGACTGAAGTAAGTCCACTGCAAATGGGAAAATATTTGTATGGTTAAATATGGAGTCTGCAACAAGAGATACAGGGCAAACAGTCTGTTTTTTTTTTTTTGTTTTGCTTGAGATAAGGCCTTGCTTTGTTACCCAGGTTGGAGTACAGTGGCGCAATCATGGCTCATTGCAGCCTCGGCCTCCTAAGAGCAAGTGATCCTTCCACTCCAGTCTCCTGAGTAGCTGGGACTACAGGCATGCACCATCACACTTGGCTAATGTTTTAATTTTTTTGTAGAGATGAGGTTTCACGATGTTGCCCAGGCTGGTTTTGAACTTCTGGGTTTAAGTGATCCTCTCTCCTCAGCCTCTCAAAAGTAGTGGGATTCCAGGCATGAGCCATGCCCAATTAGTCTTCGTTTTTGCTTTCCCACTTACTACCAATGTCACCTTGGGGAGGTTTCTTCCCCTCCCCACACAGCAGGTGCATCACCTGAAAAGAGGGCACAGTCCTGAAATCAGCATCAGAGGGTTGCTATTAGGGATTAAATGAGATTATTCCAGCAAAATGCAGACTTATGTAATGCTCCAGTGTAAAGTCAGTGCACACTAAGAGGAACTTTTGCTTACACGCTCATTGATGGCCTCGGTGAACGTGTCTATGGATGGTGCAGCTTAAGATTCAACAGTGATCCACTCAGAAGCCTAAGAATGAATTTTAACTTAGTGGGGAACTCCGCAGGGACACAGTTTGGTTTGAAGGCAGAATCTGGAATCAAATAGGCCTGTACCTCACTCACGGATGGCTCCCTCACTAGCAGGTTGCCTGAGCTAGACCTTTAACATAGGAAGTGCCAGTTTCCTAATGAGGAAAGTCAGGATAAAGTTAGTTAAAATGCTTATGGAGTGCTTTGTTTACAGTTTAGTACTTGATAACTGTTAGATAAGATGTTTTACTTTCTAATTCCTTTATTTCCTAACAGAGTATATATACAAATCAGACATAGCTTAGCTTGTTATCAACTCTTTCCTTTATGCAAATGTCTCTCAAATCTATGTCTCTACATCTAATTCCTGCACTGGGCTCTAGATGTCTATTGTCTAAACTTCTGATTGGATGGCTTCCCAAGCTGTCACAAAACCATCTTACATGGAGCTCACTAGATCCTTCTTTTCCCTCTGGTCTTCCTGAATGGACCCCACTTTGCCCAACACCCAAGAACAAAACAGATTCTTCTAGATTCCAGACTTCGTTCTCACTTTGAGCACCTGTCAGAACGTCTTGATGGTTCTACCTCTCAAATTCTCTTATCTCTGCCCCAGGTTGAGCTGTCTCTATTGCTTACGTGAATTATTAAACATATCCATCTAACGTGTCTTGCTGTTCTGATCTTACCTTCCACCTGCCGCTCCTGTCTGTGCAAGTGGGTCATATCATCATCCACTGTTTGTAAGAGAAAGTTCGAATTCTTTTGTGTGCCATTCAAGGACTTTACACCTTAAAGCAGTAGTCCCCCTCCTTTTTGGCACCAGGGACTCGTTTCATGGAAGACAATTTTTCCATGAACCGAAGGTATGGGGGATGGTTTTGGGATGATTCAAGAGCATTACATTTATTGTACACTTTATTTCTATTATTATTACATTGTAATATACGATTCACCATAATGTAGAGTCAGTGATAGCCCTGAGCTTGTTTTTCTGGAACTAGATGGTCCCATCTGGGGGTGATGGGAGACAGTGACAGATCATCAGGTATTAGATTCTCATAAGGAATGGGCAACCTAGATCCCTCCCATGTACAGTTCACAACAGGGTTCATGCTCGAGAATCGAATGCCACCACTGACCTGACAGGATGTAGAGCTCAGGTGGTAATGTGAGTGATGGAGAGTGGCTGTAAATACACATGAAGCTTCACTGGCTCACCTGTCACTCACCTCCTACTATGCAGCCCAGTTCCTAACAGGCCACAGGCCAGTACCTGTCTGTGTCCCAGGTTTGGGGACTGCTGCCTTAATGCATCACATTTCCAGACTCACCTGCTATCTCTTGTTTTCCTCCAGAGCTTTAGTGGCACTTCTCTTTAGGGCCTATGCTCTTGCCGTTGGAAATGTCTTTCTGAATTAACCCTACACATCACCAAGATGCAGGTCAAATGTCACCTCCTCTGTGACTTTCTCCAATCATCCCCTCCTCATGCATACTTCATTAGACCAGTTCTTCCTGTACCTCTCATTCCAATACTCCCTGAACACTTTGGGAGTAAAAAGACATTTTTACTTTTTAGTTTTATTTTTCAGGTTGTCTTTGAAACTGAAACAATTGGCACCTAGATTTCACTGAATACACAGAGAAAGAGTGAATGAATGAATGAATGAGTGAGTCATAGCATCCTCTACAGGGCACTGCAATGGCACGACAGTGTAGACTTGATGTATAGAGGCCTGGCCTCAGGGTCCAGCTTACCCTCACCGCCTCCTACTTTGGAATCGTGGAACATTCACACAATTTTGGGATTTGGATTAGGATTTCCTAGATTACAATAATAATCATGCTATAGAAATTTATGTCCTATATAAATATACTTGTTTATGCTTTATATGGAATATGTATGTAACCTGATTTTAACTTTGCCTGGGATAAACACTGATAACTTTTCAACATGATTCAAACAGACCCATAAAAGCAAGACATATTTTTTAACCGAGAAATATCAATGCATTGTTTGTGTTACAATTATGGAAGAATGCATAAATGGAATTGGCTTCTAATATTCCAGAGGTTTATTGAAAAAAGAAATGTTAGGTTTAGCAGACTTCAAAATCTATAATGCTACTAACAGTCTAGTGTTCATGATATGTCTGCTGTGTGCCTGGTACTATTCTTAGTTCCTGGATTCCTCTTCTTGGTGATTCAGTGAGTTTTACATTATTATCCCATTTTCACTGATAAGAAAACAGTATCATCATAAAAAACAGCTAACACTTATTATTTGACTCTTAAATGTCAGGAATTAAGTGCTTTATGTGTATTAAGCATTTAATTCTCTTGCCAACTCTATGCAATGAGTCTGAGTACTCACACCCATTTTGGAGAGTGGAAAACTGAACCTTAAAAGGGTAAATAATGTTTGCAGGTCTCAATGGCAAGAAAGTGGCAGATCAAGAATCCAGACATGATGTGGTGCTGGAAGCCCCCAGACTTTTTCATCTCGATGCTGAACTTCCTCTTTGAACTGAGCTTCAGGCAGTTTAGATAGTTTGCCTGTGTTCACACATCCAGGAAACAGTCGAGTTGAACTTCTAACTCAGGCCAGGGTCCAGGTTTAAAAAGGAAACCAGCTTCATCAATTACAAAGAAAAGCAAAGCCTCTTGTGCCAGCTGTAGCTTTGCTGCTAACTAGCTGCAATCTGGGAAAATCACTTACCTTTCCGGCTCTTTAATACCTTCTCTGTCAGCCACAAATTGCTGAGCTTTTAGTCAGTAATACCTAAATTATGTGTCCCAGTACTCTGGATTGTGGTGACCAGCTTTGAGTTGAACTGCAAATATTTCTCACCAAAAATTTAAAATATAAAATTCAAAAATGACTTTTTCTATTAATACCATTGGAGTCAAAGGTACCAATGTTGTCTCCTCATTGACATTCCACAGAGTGTATCTGAGAATGAGAAAAAAGGAGCAGAAGCTGCTGGGCTGGAACTGAGGGGTGGGCCTAGGAGTGGGAAGGCAATTGAGAAACCTGGTCAAGGTCATGTTCTGACCCAGGTATCTGTTCCATTATGCATGTATGTACTTGCTGCCCTCCCCGTTCACACAGCTCCAGCAGCACCTCCACCTACACACAGCTCAGCATCACCTCGACCTATGCAAGACTCCAGCATCCCCTTCACATACACACAGCTCCAGCATCCCCGCCATCTATGCATAGTTCAGCATCCTCTCCACATACCCAGGGCTCCAGCATCACCTCCACCTACACACAGGCCAGCAGCACCTCCACCCACGCACAGTTCAGTATCACCTCCACCTCTGCAAGGCTCCAGCATCCCCTTCACTACCCACAGCTCTCTCATCCCCTCCACCTACACACAGCTCTCTCATCCCCTCCACCTACACACAGCTCTATCATCCCCTCCACCTACGCACAGCTCTATCATCCCCTCCACCTACCCACAGCTCTATCATCCCCTCCACCTACCCACAACTCCAGCATCCCCTCCACCTACCCACAACTCTATCATCCCCTCCACCTACACACAGCTCTATCGTCCCCTCCACCTACACACAGCTCTATCATCCCCTCCATCTACACACAACTCCAGCATCCCCTCCACCTACACACAGCTCTATCATCCCCTCGACCTACCCACAGCTCTATCATCCCCTCCATCTACACACAACTCCAGCATCCCCTCCACCTACACACAACTCTATCATCCCCTCTACCTACACACAACTCCAGCATCCCCTCCACCTACACACAACTCTATCATCCCCTCCACCTACACAGAACTCCAGCATCCCCTCCACCTACCCATAACTCTATCATCCCCTCCATCTACGCACAGCTCTATCATCCCCTCTACCTACACACAACTGTATCATCCCCTCCACCTACACACAATTCCAGCATCCCCTCCACCTACACACAACTCTATCATCCCCTCCACCTACACACAACTCCAGCATCCTCTCCACCTACACACAGCTCTATCATCCCCTCCACCTACCCACAGCTCTATCATCCCCTCCACCTACACACAACTTCAGCATCCCCTCCCCCTACCCACAACTCCAGCATCCCCTCCACCTACCCACAACTCCAGCATCCTCTCCACCTATGCATGGCTCCAGCATCAAAGGATCCTACAAGCGAGTGTTGAGTGATCACAGACACATCTATATGGCTCTGTCCACATGCGAAATAAACTCAGTTTTGTGTTCCTCTCCTTCTATAAATTTGTTGTATTACTGTGTCCCTCATGGAAATCAGGGAGAAAATATTGATCATCTTCTATTCTCAGCTACTTTTACATAGACGGCAATAACTCTGTGCAGTTGACTGAAACAATACTTTTTTTTTTTTTTTTTTTTGAGACTTGTCTCGCTTTGTTGCCCAGGCTGGAGCTCAGTGGTATAATTTCAGCCCACTGCAACCTCTGCCTCCTGGGTTCAAGTGTCCCAGCCTCCCAACTAGCTGGGATTACAGGCTCCCATCACCACACCAGGCTAATTTTTGTATTTTTTAGTAGAGATGGAGTTTCATCATGTTGGTCAGGCTGGTCTTGAACTCCCGACCTCAAATGATCTGCCCACCTTGGCCTCCCAAAATGCTGGGATTACAGGCATGAGTCACCGCGCCCCACCTGAAACAATACTTTAAGAAGATGAGGGTCTCTGTGAAGCTTGAGAGATGCCTTCAGCTTTCTGAAGGCTCCTGAGGGACAGTTCATTGCATAAGATCCCACAGAGTGGAGCTAGAGCCAATGGATGGATGTCATAGGAAGGCACATACTGTGGGTGAGAAGGCTAATTTTCCACTCTTAAAGTCTTTTCAACACGGAGGGACACCCATTAGCATAATAATCCTGGCCTTTCTCTGCCCATTTATTGGGCAAATGTTGAGTTTTGAATAAGAAACAGGTCTGCCTTGTTCTCCCTCAAAGGCGTCAATCTCCATCACTCTCGGCCCTGGGGTAGCCTGGTGAAGGAGGCATCCTGCAAGGGAGGCTGGTAGCTGATAGCACTGCCATACCAGGGTGGGTAAGTATTTAAATCCAGGGCTCACGACTCATGTATCTTTTTGCCCAAAGACATAAACAAAAATCTGCAATTTGTCCTATCCAATTGGTTCAGCACTCATTTGGGGAAAAGAAGGTATTGTTTTTCAGTGCTGCTTCACACCCAACTTCAGATTCCATCTCCTTGGATGATGAGGCCACTGAGGTTACCACCACTCCACTGTGGACAGACTGCCTCAGAAGCCTCCTATCACCCAGGGTGCTCAGGAATTGAGGTTGGGGGTGGCACACAGGAGAGTCCGTCAGTGCTGGGTAGAGGGTTCGAATAGGTCAGTGAGTGGTGTTCCCATTTCAACAAGTCTGTTTCGTTTATAGCAGTTTTATATGCTGGATTCTAAAAATTAAAAAAAGAAAAAGTTTGAAAATGATTAGACTAAATGAATACCTCTGGAAGTCTTAGCTATTCCATTGTGATCCAGAAGGCAGGTATGAATTATGTGGCTGAAAATCAGACCTCAGCAATCTTTTTGCTCATAGTTTTCATTTCTTATTCCTAAATATTGTTTTCTTTCCTCTCTGTTTCTAAGTGTTGTTTTATCAGCATTTTTAAAAAATATTCTTTCTGATCCCGTTTATTTCAAAATGATTGCAAGGTGATTTTTAAAAATATATTTTGTGAGGCAAAGAAACAGAGTCCCACAAAAACATCAGCAGATGTAGAATTAGAGGAAAGATCCAGGGTCAAGTCCAGGCTTTGCTCCTCCCTTTGGACAGAGACTTTGCTGCCCTCAGAGGGCAAGAGTGAGGATAAAGGGGAAAGAGTTCTTTGCCATCATAAAGCATGACAAACATTAGTCTTCTGATTATGATTATTATTGGTAGGAATTTCATATGAATCCTTCCACTGGTGTACTTAAGTGATATTTTATTTAGTAAACTAGTAAATTAGTCAATTCTTATATTGCCAAGAGATTTTGACCTATTCAGAACTTTTAAAAAAAAATCTCATTATTAGTTAGATAAGTTGATATATTGACTATGAATAATTCATAACCATCTTATAAATTACCTTAATACCTATGATACATGTTGCATGAATACATAAGTTGTTGTTATTAATCTGTTTGACTTTAGAGAACTATATTTTCATATTAGAAGCATTGTGGTTGGGTTTCTATATATTCCTCAGCAATCAATGGGGTCAGTCCCATTTATCATCATGATCCTAATTGCTGGGTTTTTTTGGTGGTTCCTGTGTGCCCATCACTGCGGTGAACACTTGAGGTCTAGAGGTTAATGAATACTGTCCTCACCTGGAGGAGAATATACCCAAAATGAAGAAATCTGGGTCACAAACACATAATTGCAGCACAATATGGTAAGTATGATACCAGAGGAAACCACAGGATGTAGAGAGTGTGACATAGGGCACACAGAGGCATTTAACACGTAGGGGTAGAAAAAGGCTTTCTGGACAGATGCTGCTGCAGTTGGATCTTGAAGGCATAGGTAGATACATAAGGAATAAGAGGAGGGCGTGACAAGCACAGAAGCCATCATAAACAAGGGCATAGAGTGAGTAAAATAACAAAGTGCAGGGAGACAGAATGTGGGCTGCCAGATGTGGGCTGCCAGAGTCCAGGAGAGAAGCAGGAGATGAAGCTCAATGGACAGACTGATTCAGGTCAGGTCATGGAGAGCCAGGCATAGCATGTTGATCAAGAATCAATTCCTAGGAAACTAGCAACATATTAGCTATGTCCAAACCATGTGATAGTGTGCCCTTCAGGGAGATACAGGGAGGCCTTTCTCTGTGACTCTGGCTTCTCACTGGCTCTGGTTTCTGGTCCCTCAAACCCTTAGGAAAGTTGTAATCATGGTATAAATTTTACATAAGTGGAATGGGCCCAGAGAGGTTAAGTCAATGGCCCCTAGTCCCACATTTGCTAAGATACAAATGTAGAATTCCAAAATAGCACAGCCTGGCTCAAAAGCCAAGCTCTTTATCCCACATGGGACTATTCTGAATTCACCAGAATTAAAGTCCCCAAATAGAAAGGTGGCTTCTCAACTGAGGGCAAGACAATGAGAAAAGAGATAATGAAAATAGCAAGAGTAAGAAGAAATGGCCATCAGATAAATAAGATTAATTATGTAGAGTGTGAAGGGTCAAGCAATGATTACTCCCATCTCTGAGAGGCTAGTCCAAGATCATCAAATTAGACATGTCTGCAGAATAAGTAAGCTATCAGTCTCAGTGCCTCTGGACATTGTGACCATTGTGTCTGTCTCTACTTTGAAAGTTACAGCGGTTCACTATGGTGCCTTAGAGATTTAAAATTTTATGCTTTTCTGATTTTAATTATACAAGGCATTAAATTCCTCCAGCTGACACTGGGGCAGGCACAGAGTCAGCAGCTATGAGTCTCTTATTGTGAGTTCTAAGATCTCTTGTATGAATTTGGTCTTTGTCTCTCCCCCTAGTATTCTTGATGGGTGTATTAGTTCGTTCTTGCATTGCTATAACAAACTCCCTGAGACTGGGTAATTTATGAAGAAAAGAGGTTTAATTGACTCAAAGTTTGGCAGGCTTAACAGGAAGCATGACTGGGGGGACTCAGGAAATTTACAATCATGGTGGAAGGTGAAGGGGAAGCAAGCACTTTCTTCACATCGTGGCAGAAGAGACAGAGAGAGTAAGGGAGGGAAGCACCACACACTTCTAAACCATCAAATCTTGTGAGAACTCACTATCATGAGAACAGCATGGGAGAAATCCATCCCCATGATCCAATCACTTCCCACCAGGTCCCTCCCCCTAACATTGGGAATTATAATTCGACATGAGATTTGGGTGCAGACACAGAGTCAAACGATATCAATAGGCTTTCTACATATGGTGCATTCTGTAGGGAATCCAGAAAGTGTATCAGAACAAACAAGCATAGGAAACATATTCTATGTTCTGATACCAAGCATACACACACCCATGTAGCCCCTCATAAACTTCCTTACCTGAGCCTCACAGGGCATTCAGAATCATATTCAGTGTGGGGTGGGGAAGCAGAAGTGGCCTTTCTGTCTCAAAATTGGACCATCAGTATGGGGCATGGCTGTGATTTGAATGAGGTGTACCTGATCCCAGAGCCATGCTCCTAATCACCACCAATTTTGCCATTCTATAAAAGATGCTCCGTGCTAATGTTAGCTCTCTCTTGGCTCCTGCAGAAAACAGATCAGGCTATTCTAAGGGATCACTAAACGACATGGGAGACCACTTAGTGGACCCTGTCATATAAGAATATTTAATTCTTTAGGAAAGCAGCTCAAAATAGGTCTGGTTTTTATTTAAATAACTACAGCAATCATAGAAACCAAAATAATAGTATTTGCATAATAAATCATCGTTTACCTGGGACTTTAAGATCAACTCTATAGGGTTTGTATTACTACTAGTCCCGTTCTACAGATGCACCGACAGAGGGGTGGATCTCTCAGACAGTGTCAAGAATCAACAGTTTCCTACAAAATCATTTATCAACATTAATAGCTCAAAAATAATCTGAGCAAATTTTCAGTAAAATTTGGATCATATCAACAACCATGTTACATTCAAATGTCATTGCATGGTTTTGGTAGCTGCATTTGCATAGGGTTTAAGATCAAGTTGTTAAACATATGGCCATGCTGAAGTGACAGTATTGATATTGCATTGCAACATTCTAAAATTGAGACTAGGGCATTTGACTTCTATTTAATGCTGCTCTGCACTTATTGACTGTTTGTTATCTGCTAGTACACTGCTGAATGCTGTGAACACCTTCTATATGGCTTATACCATGGATGTATATGCAGCACTTCTGCAATCATTTATTGCCTCCACTATAAAATAGCAATTATAAGTCTGGGCATGGTGGCTCACTCCTGTAATCCCAGCACTTTGGGAGGCTGAGGCAGGTGGATCACCCGAGGTCAGGAGTTGAAGACCAGCCTGGTCAACATGGTGAAACCTCGTCTCTACTAAAAATACAAAAATTAGCCAGGCGTAATGGTGCACACCTGTAATCTCAGCTACTCGGGAGGCTGAGGCAGGGCAATCACCTGAACCTGGGAGGTGGAGGTTGCAGTGAGCTGAGATGGAGCCACTGCACTCCACCCTTGGTGACAGAAAGACATTGTCTCAAATAAATAAATACAATAAAATAGCAATAATAATAGCAATTACCTATTAGCAACGTGGTGAGGAGCAACTAGGGCAGATAATGTAACCATGGTGCTTAAGGGAGAGTCTGACAAAGGATGGACACCTGGCACAAAATAGGTATTTGTGCTAAGAGTACATAGAAGACAGGTATGCAGCCCTCACTGCAGGTGTAGGGGGAGTGATGGTCATCAGGAAGAACTCTAAAGTAGAAAGAGGGATGCTTTAGAGGACTCAGCAGATAGAGTGATGTTGCTGGCCATCACACTGGCAACCGTACTATACAAATATTGCCCCGCTTTTCCCTGCTCTGAAGAGACTGAGGCACAAAAAGGAAATAAGAGGGAAAAAGGAAATAAGAGGGAACTAAAGCCTCCTTTTCCTGCAGTCTCACAAACACAGCTGCCCCTCTGCCTTTTGCTTTTCAGGATTATAGACAGATGATATGCATAGGCTATTTCACAATTGGATTTGCTCACAATGACTCTGCAGACAGCAGATTCTTTAATTAAGGCAACTGAAGTCAACACATCATTCCAGTGTGGAGAATACTTAACAATCCACATTTGAAAATGCTGAATCTATCTATTAAAACATTTATAGATGGCACTTTCATTTTCTAGCATTTTACTTCCATTTGTTCTTCATTAAAAGCAATTCCCCTGACTGTGTGCAATGTTCAGCAATTTTGTTAGCAGTTGGCAAATTGGATTCTTAATATTTAATCTAATTGGGAACAACATTACACAACTCAAACTGAACAAGCAATTTAGTTGTCAGATCATTATAAAACCATAAACACCTTTCTGATGAATGTCTTTACTTTTATAATGTGGCTTGAAGGTCCGATTTTTTAAAAAAAATTACTAGTCTCCAATTTAATGTGTACACGTTTCTTAAAAATTACTAAAGAATCACTATGTGTAATATTTTTTAAAATGTGAGACATTGTCTGTTAAATGAAATGAGCATGAGCTCCACCATCCCATCGGGGTCCACTTAGATTCAGATACTGGCTTTGTAAATTGTAAACTCTGAGATCATGGCTAAGAAGTGACTCCTGAGAGTTCCTGCCTTCATGTGAAAATGCTGAATAGAACTACAAAAACAATATTGGAATGAGATACCACCTACTGGATATGATTGTTGAAAAGATTAAACTTAGAATAAATTAAATGACTGATATGTATTAAGTGCACCGTACGATCACTACGTAAATAGTAGCCACGGTGAATTAAGTAATAAGTATTATTGTCATTATTAGTGTTAATTCTTTCTATTAATATCGTTATAATGCCAACAGCATGTCATCTCATTTTCCCTCATAATTAGACCACAGTCCAGAGTTACAGGAGACAAACAGATGGAGGAATGGGAGAGGATGGCTAAATTCCGTGTGTTGTTTTCAATTTTATGTAATTTCTTTTTTTTTTTTTTTTAACTTGATGTCTTTGACTGCTTTAAGACTTGGCTCTCAGATCTGGCAGAAATAGCTTTTGGAGATAGAATTTTAGCTTGTTAAGGATCAGATGTGGAGAAAGTTTATCTCCCTTGCAAATTGCTGTTTATAGATTTAAGCAAGAGAAGGATGGATTTAAACACTAGAATGATGCAAGAGGTAAAAATAAATGAAAATGGACTGGGGGGTTGTACAAAGGAGGGAAAGTCCAATGAACTCACTTAGAAGTAGAGGGGAAGCAGCAAGCTCCGCTAGGCTGGAACCCACTTAGAGGACAGTATCAAGGAGGCTCCCACAATGAACAGGAGAGCCTGATGGATAGGAGAGCTTCTGTAGCCCTGAAGACTTGTGGCTGGAAGTCTGCTCTCAACCCAACTGGACTCAACATAACTTTTGGTGGTGTTCAGGATGGCTTTGTGGGGGCCTTTCTAACCCAGGGACCAAAGCCTGATCATCCTCCTGTGGTTTCGTGTTGACCTAATTTCTCCAAATCCAGCCTGTTCTGTCCCTGACACCAGTCTCCCATCCCAACACAACTGAGTCTATATTCTATGCCTTCACGTTACCAAATCCATTGCGCAGACAGCCAGGTAATTGCCCCTGGCTTTTTTTCAACAGAGATCCCAGGAAATGAGAGTCTATCTCCTCTTGGGAACTGCTCTGCCATATCCCCGACTCAAATACTCTTACTATTTCTATGCAAAGGTAATAAACAGTTCTATCAAGAATAATTATGATTTGTGTTACTATGAATAGCCATATTTTAGAATTAAGCATAATACACACACATAGTATGCTTAACATGGTGCATGTATGCATTTATTCAAGAATCACTTATTGGGCATTGTTTCTGGACTAGGCACCAAGCTGAACTCTACTAGAAAATGAAAATATTATTTGTGTATGACTTTGGGTTCAAGATCTTTGCAGTTTAGCATGTGAGGGAGCACACAGACTAATGATTTTAGGAGTCTGATAAGTGCTATGATAAATTTATACATAAATGCTATTGCAGCACAAATAAAGATGTCTGCATCATTCTGGGGTCAGTCAAGAAAAACACCATGTAAAAAATAATCCTGTTGTCTAAAATACATAGTTAGCCAGATGGACACATAGGTGAAAATTCCAGGCACCTAGATAAGGAAAAACCTACTGCGGAAGGGAAAAATAAAATTGATACGATTCTAGCAGAAAGTACAAGGTTGAAGCTGAGCTTAGACTCAGAGGCATAAAGCAGTATGAAGGTCTCTCTTATTTGTCATGATGATGCATGTAAGATTCAGCACCTCAAATTAGCCTTAGGTGAAGATGGAGCAGAGGGAAGAGGATCAGAAAAAAATAAGTAAGTTGGGAGTCTGTGCACTGTCTGGATAAGAAGGAATTAGGACATATTTGCAGGCAGTGGAAGAAGGGGAAGAGGCAAAAAAAGCAAAGACACAGTTTGTAGAAATCAGTCACTAACGTAGACATAAGAGAGAAGAAGGGATCGGGGATAATTCTGAGGTTTCCAGTGACTCAGACAACACAGATTTTTCAAAAAGTTTTAGATCCCATGAAGATGGACATGATTAAATATCTAGACATGATTAAATATCTAGAGTCTAACAGCCTGGGCTCAAACCCTAGAACCACCATCCACAATCTACCTAATCTTGGGCCAGTTAGTTATCTCTCTATGCCTAAGTTACCTTATCTGTAAAATGAGGGAAAACTAATAGATTCCTGGTAGGGTGCTAGTGAAGAGCAAATTAGATAACGTGTGCAAGAACTTAATATGGGAGATAGAAAATAGTAAATACTCAAAATAATATTTTAACTGATATTATTCTATTAATTGAAAGTATGGACTCTGATCTGAATGTTGGCCATAGAGCCATTTCCCTTATATCTATAAACTCACCACCATGATCCCTGGAAATAACTATTACATAGCAAAGAGAACATTAGACTTGGAATCTTGAATCTAGCATCTAATATTTACTAGATGAACAATCCTAGGCAAGTCACTTTCAGTCTCTGAGCCTCAGGCTTCCATTCTATGACAGAAGTTAGCAAGTTGCAGAGGCGTTATCAGAAATATTAAATGAAACAAGAGGATGAAAGTGCTTTGGCACAGACAGAACATTATAGAACCCCCAAATCATGTTGCATTAATTGATACATCAATAATAATTGTCAGAAAGTACAACTAAGGCACTTTGGGAAGGTTGCATGGGCACTCCATTCTCCGCACCCTCCTCCCACCCATGAATGGCTCAGATCCTACAAGTGATGCCACGCAAAGATTAGAGAAGCCCCCAGAAGATATTCTGGCAGCCATGAGCAAGCATCAGTTTCTTTGGACATTCTCTCGGGAATGAGAATGAGATCAGCATAGAACAGGATTCTCTGTGCTACCCAGAGAAAGCAATTAATGAGTCCGAGGGGATGGTAAAAGTCAGTGGAAGCGATATTCATTTCCAATAACAAATACCAGAACAAACTATGTTACAGTGAACAGTACAGTGTACATGCTACTACACCTACAGACAAGGAGCCTGTCTGCACATGGAACAATCTGAAGACTTGGTTCCAATAGGGTTTCCTTGTCATATCAACTCCAGGAATAGAAGATCTGCAGTGGAATGGTGGCAGTGAGTTGCTGGTTGCCAATTAAAATCTAAATAACTACAATAACAATTTTTATGAAGACACTACCAATAAGACTTAGAACCGTTGGAGGATAGCTAGATAGAAGAGGACACATCTGATCAATTCTGAGATAAGCTTTCCTCAGACTATCTTTTAATAACATTCACACTCATGATATTTATTGAGTTCTAGGTGCTTACACAGATGCTGAAGGTTATAGCATGAAGGCAGACATTTCTGCCTTCACCAGGCCTTCAGCCTGTAGTGAAGACAGACAACTGTCTGCAGTGAGATTGGCATTGCACTAATGGAGAAAGGGAAAGGATGCAGGTAAGGGGTGCTGGGTAATGCCTGTCTGAGCCAGGAACATTCATTCTGAATCCTAAAGAATGGCCAAGAGAAAGCTTCAAAAAGTCAGTCATCTGATGTGCTGCCTTTCTCACTCATTTGGGCAATAAATACCTGAAGTCGTCTGATGTGTTTATGAACAAGTTGGTGGTTGGAAAGTATTACTGTTTCTAAGCCCCATTTAAGAGCCAGTGATGGGTTGCTCATTAGAGAGTGAAAACCTGCTCTCTAAACTCTGATTAATCCACAGGAATCTTTGACTTGGTAGTCTTTGCAATAAGCATATTCATATAGCCTAACCCATGTTCTTGAAAGACAGCTACAATCCTAACCATCTTATAAAAGGGGAAACGAGGCATGAGGACACATAATAAGTAGGCTACAGAGCTTTCCAGGGCTTTGGGCTGTGGAGTCTACCAGCTTCTTCACTGTATGGTTATGCGACTTTGGTCAAATAGAAACCCTTGTTGCCTTGGTTTCCTGATGCACATGATAGTATAATAATAGTCACCTCGAAGCTGCGAGGGATAAGTGAGATAATCTATGTAAGCATTGCCTGTCACCAAAATGACCAGCATCATCACCACCATCATCAACAGCATCATCACCATTATCTAATGCCTGACGAATATGCCCACTTAGGTCAAGAGTCTGGAAATTTTGTTCAGAATCTATATTTATGTAAATAGTAACTAAATGAAATAATGTGCTTCATGGCTAGAATTATCAATATACTTCTGGATAGTCATATCTAGACAACAAAATGGTATAACTGAAAAAGTTCTTAGCTTAAGAGTGGGAAGAAGTAATTTGGAATTCCAACATTGTTCTCTGTAAGATGGGAAAAAAATATCTCTTGCCTCTAGCCTTCCATGTGAGGCTATTCATTTGTTCTCTGATATATTTCTTTTTTTTTTTTTTTTGAGATGGAGTCTCCCTCTGTGGTCCAGGCTGGAGTGCAGTGGCACGATCTCGGCTCACTGCAAGCTCCGCCTCCCAGGTTCACACCATTCTCCTGCCTCAGCCTCCCGAGTAGCTGGGACTACAGGCGCCCACCGCCACACCCAGCTAATTTTTTTGTATTTTTAGTAGAGACGGGGTTTCACCATGTTAGCCAGGATGGTCTCAATCTCCTGACCTTGTGATCCGCTCGCCTCAGCTTACCAAAGTGCTGGGATTACAGGCGTGAGCCACCATGCCCGGCCGATATATTTCTTTATACAACAGCATTCAGTGAGTTTCCTCCTATGCGTGAGGCGCTGAGGATGTATCAGTGTTCATGAACTACCTGGTCCTTTCCTTCACGGAGTTTTTGTAGCAGTGGAGACAAAGTAGGAAGAGAAAAAGTTGAATGTTACTATGAAACAGCCATGGGATGAAGACAAGATACTGGAGGGATTCTTTTAGGCCATCTCATAAATGTAAGGAATTCTTATTTCTGTATCAAAAATTACCTCTGTCTTCCAAACAATGAAACTATTAATGGAAGTCATATTTAACTCCCACCTCTTCACACTAAGTATAATTGGTAGACTTTAATGGGTGAAAATTTAGTATTTATGGAAACATGATAACTAAGATGACTTCCAAATGTGTGAGCAATGAGACTTTAGGGGAAAATAAAAATGGAATCCATGTAGATGCAGTTCTTGAATTAACCAAAAAATGTCTGTGCATATGAGCAAAGATAGAAATAATTCTACTTCTATTACTTCTAATTAAAGCTCTACTAAAAATAGTGAGAAAAATAAAAGCAGGAGAAGGAAAAAGATGAGAGCTACCATTTATTCAATATTTACCATAAGTCAATCACTCTACACATTAATCATGAGAACGACCATAGAAGTCACATGGGGATAGCAATATGTCCTGCTCACAATCACATATTAATTTAGTGCAATACCAATATAGAAAATAGTGAAGAGTTCAGAATTATAGACATGGGTTACAATTTGAGCTCTAATAATTTCCCTTAGAAAAGATTCCTGGCGTCTCAGATCCCCTGTTTGCTCCTTTACAGAGTGGGACTCATACTTAGAAATGTTCATGGATGTTAGAAAAGTTAAAAAGATGATGTTTGCAAAAACTGAATATACAGCACAGAGTTGCTCAATAGATATCCCTCCTCCTTTCTTTTTACATGGGCAGTGGATTTCTTGCCTTCTAAGGTTTGCTACAGGCCACTCTAGAGACCCTGTTCAATGCCCTGCTCCTCCCAAACTTACACGCACACACACACACAGAGAGAGAGAGAGAGAGAGAGAGAGAGAGAGAGAGAGGGAGAGAAAGAGAGAGAGAGAGATTTATGAATAGAATGTTGTCCCATCAGACAAGGCAACGCAGCCAGGAAACTGCTTACCAGGCACCAGTAAAATACTCCGCAAGAAAATGAAATTGAACCAAAATAGAAAATAAAACTATTTCTAAAATTCCAACAATAAAATTAGGTTGAAATGAGTTGAATGCATTTGCAGGTGATGATAAATATCATGTGCCTACTTACCTGGCTAACCCAGTGAGAGCTGTATCTGTAACTGCCATTAATAACCACACATCTGAACACTAGTAATTTGGTCTCCATGGAAACAGAAGGTACTATCTTCACTACTGTTCATAGATGGATCTTTTATTATTTCAATATTTGAAAAGTGATTTTTCAAGATGATAGAAACTGTAAAATATATTCAATTATGCGTAACATGGGAGATAGGAAGTGGGGAGTTTCAAATACGCCTTTGGTTTTGCTTATTTTTCAGGGAGAAAAGAAAATGACACTGATGGGGAGAACAGGTTGATATTTTAGAAGAAAGGATCACAATTCCTAGATCTCCTGTAACTTCTAACATTGTTAAACCTGGAACCTGTCCCTGGCAGCTTTCATCGTAGGGGTTGATTTGCTGCCTTTAGTCATTTCACAGAAGTCCACCAGGTACCAATAAATGCCCAGAACCCCAGTGAATTAAGGAAGGCCACTCGGCAATCACCCAGTGAGGATCATAAAATCTGCGTAAATATTTGAGATGGGGATTGAGAAAATAACAAAGAAGCATGGTCTAAGATACCAAATGGACCAGGCCTTCCTATTCCTCCACTAGTTAAAACAGAAAACCAGGGTCATCCTTGTATGTTCTTTCCCTCTCACCCAGACGTGTTCATTCTCTCTCTTAAATGACTCACTTTACCTCTTAAATGACTCACTTTACCTCCCTCCCCCATTTCCTATTGCATTAGCACGGATCAGGTTCTCCCTTGGAATAATCCAAATGTGTTTTTACTAGTCAGCTCTTTCCCTCTAGGAACTCATGTTCTGGTAGAAACAGAAACAGATGCACAGGTGCTTGTGATAAGCAATTCATATGAACTATTCATAGACAACAGCTAATGAAAGGCTGACCTCCTGCCCTGGATTATCTCATGGATTTTAATATATTAACTCATTTTTTTCTCACCCCAAACATACTGATTGTTCTTGTTAATATTATTTCTATTTTACAAATGCTTTAACTCATACACAAATAGGGTGATTTGCCTAAAATCACACACACACACACACACACACACACACGTGCTCATGTGCAGAACTTAACAAAGCAGAGAGCAGAGCATAAGCAATCTGGGTCCAGTGCCCCATGGTGAGAACTAAAGCAGGTATATAACTTGAAATGCTTGGGTTGCCAAAAGGTGACAGTATTTCAAGAAGTATTCTCTTGATTGGGTCACCTTTCTAGCCAGGAGTCGAGGATAGGCTTGCTGTTTCTTTCTGAGCCCTAGGCAAGTGTAATTCAAATGTCACTCTAATCAGCAGCTGAAGTACCACCCTCTCCTCTGGGGCACCTTGGGAAGGTCCTACGCATCAACTGCTAGTGAGAGGCAAAAAGCATCGTTGTTGAGCCTGGAGCCTCTGAAGCCACACTTCCCAGGTGTGTGTCCTGCACGACTGCTTACCAGCTGGTTCCTTGACCTTTCTGGGCTTCAGTTTCTTCATCTTAAAAATGAGATTATTAATGACCTGCCTTATAGGTGGACACTTCATTTAAATGAGTAAATAAATGCAAAGAGCCTAGAAGCATATCTAACGCATTGTAAGTGCTTGGTAAGTATTGATGAAGAAGAGGGTGAGGGGGATGGTAATGATGCTAGTGGTGGTGATAACAAAATTGAAAACGGCTATCACTTCTATACCACAAGAACTCCCCCCAACTATTTCGAGTCCTGTGTTCATATTGCCAGTGTAAATTTCATCTCATGGTTTATAAGAAAATAGGAAATAGAACAACAACTAACTGCACATATATAAATGTTCAAAAGTCTCATATAAAAAGGAGAGTAAGAAGCAAGGGACCACTGCCTCAGCCAACAAGGAGAAACAAATGTACTCACCCACGTGAAATAACTAAAATATAGATAAGACAGCTGAGCAAGTTTTTCAGGCTTTGGATATCAGGCTGCATAGACTAAAAACGAAGTGAGACCTACTATTGTTTATTCTAATATACTTCCTGAAGGGAGTTTCTGGGCCATGATGCAGAAAGATGAAACCCAGGAAATTTCTAGCTGACTCTTTGTATTAGTCTTTTCTTGCATTGCTAGAAAGAAATGCCTGAGACTGGGTAATTTAGAAAGAAAAGAGGTTTAATTGGCTCATGGTTCTGCAGGCTGCCCAGGAAGCATACTGGCTTCTGTTTCTGGGGAAGCCTCAGGAAACGTACAATCATGGAAGAAGGAGAAGGAGAAGCAGGCACCTCTTAGATGGCAGGAGTAGGAGCAATAGAGAGAGCAGGGAAGTGTCACACGCTTTCAAACAACCAGATCTCCTGAGAACTCACTCACTATACAGCACCAAGGGGGATGGTGCCAAATCATTCATGAGAACTCTGCCCTCATGATCCAATCACCTCTCAGCAGGCCCCACCTCCAACACTGGGGATTAGAATTCAACATGAGATTTGGTGAGGACACGGATTCAAACCATATTACTCTCAGATTTGAGAAGACAGAATGCAAATTGCAGGGAGTTTAGGTGGGCTAGAGTTCACAGGACAGAGTACTGAATAGGAGAGCCAAGGAAACAATTCCCAGAGCTCACCCAGGACTGAGAATTAACTGACGTATCAGAATGAAAAACCTCATAATTCATGGAATATTGAGGAGAAAACTCAGAAGGAGATTACCTCAGTGATTGGGTAAAATTAGCCTAGAGTAAAAGCTGCTCTGATCCCACCGAACAAATCTTAAAAAGCAAGCTTTGGAAAGATCAGATTCCAAGTAACTTAACCACATCCAATTACAAAGCTAAAGAATGCATATGTATATATGAGTGTGCACACACACGCACATGCGCACACACCCACACATATCCAGCCCTGAAAAATATAAAACCACAATGCCTATCATTGAATACAAAACTACTAGGCATACAAATAAGCAGGGAAACGAAATACATGTAAAGAGAAAAATCAATCAGTAGAAACTAATTCAGAAACGGCAGCAATGATAGAGTTCTCAGCAAGGACAGGTGCAAAGAGAAAGAAGATGATGTAGAGAGTGGGAGGTGGAGATGTGGAAGACAGAAAAGAGGAGATGGAGAGAGAGAGAGACGGGAAGCCGAGAAAGATGGAGAAACAGAAGGACAACTGAGAGGTAAGGGGATAAACAGAGAAGCCATGTAAGTAAGGAGAGAGATGCCTGGAGAGAAAAGGCAGATACAGGAGGAGGAGCAGGTAGTGGCAGATAAAAGGGGTATAACAGGATGACAGAAAGGGGGTTGAATGGCAATCGCCTGCCCACTGCTTCTTAACTCTTATCACAATTGCAACTCATAACTAATTGGTGCAATTATCTATTTATTCTATATATGCCCCCTCCCCAAAGAAAAACTTCCCCACCAAAGCCCTGTCTGTCCATAAAGCCAGGATATCATCTGTTTTATTCACTGCAGTTTTACCAATGATTCACACAGTCCATTGAATATAGCAGGGTGGCCCAAAGTTACTGAATATATTAAAGAAGGGGACAAATATAACTGTTATTTTACTGACCAGGCTGAAGAGGTTCAGTAACTTGCTCAAAGACAAAAGCTAGTAAGTAGAATAGTTATATTTAGATGTGGTGGGGTTTTTTGTTTGTTTGTTTGTAGGATTTTTGTTGGTGGTGTTTTTTTTTTTTTTTTTTTTTTTAATTCTGAGCCCAGGATATTCCTTAGAGTCAAAAAAACAAAATGAATTTTTAAAAAAGATTCTGAAAAGCAACCCATGACATGTCTTTAACTGCTCAATGAATAATTATTCTTAAATTATGGATTATATTTTCTCAAGAAGGACAACTGTGAGTACAGACAGTTCAGAGTCTTTACCCTACATTTAGGAGAAAGACACATTGCCTTCTGCAACTGCAGGTAGGGCTGAGACAATGGAATGGACAAGGCTTGGCTGTGTAGGAGGCTACTGTCGGGGACATGAGCCTCCTCCAACTGTGAACTGGGTCCTTTTCATGTTCAGATTCCAAGATTAGGTACACAGGTGTTAGAGGGTGTCTGCCACACTGGTCTTCTGTAGCTTCTCTACTTGTGTCACACAGGAACAGTTAGTTTCTATTTCTGAACCTCCGTTTTCTTGTTCCGAAATGTCAGTGGTGATTTCTCCCTCTAAGGGTTATCACGGGGTTAAACAGGAGAGAACAACAAAATCCATGTGGCAATGACTATTCCACCAGGGCCCATTTATGAGAAGCCTGTTAGTCTGGAAATGTACAGTGAAGAATAAACTACTTCACCCAACACTTGTAGTCCAGGAGCTCTTGACTACAGAGACTGGCAAGAAAATAAGCAGTGACAATGAACTGTAACCGTTGAAATGATAGGAGTGAGCAAAAAGATATTTGGGTCCCAAAGAAGGGCCTCCTAAACCAGCCAGGAGTCAGGCAAGAGGGTGGGAAGTAGATTAGGACTTTGGAGGAAAGAATGCTTGTGCAGAGTCCTGTAGGAGCAACAAGAATTCCTAAGATAAAGAGGATCCTGAAGGGTATCCCAGGCATAGGAAGCAGCCTACAAACAAGTGGGAAACTGAGAAAGATCATGTGTTCTTAAGGATCCTTTGGCATGGATTGAAGGATAGAGGTGGCCAAGACTCTAAGTTCATTGAGTATTAAACAATGACAGACACATATCTTACTCAGAGCATTGTGCACTAGTATTGCAGAAATGTGTTAAACTCACATGTTCTTCGCAGCACTATTCACAAGAGCAAAGACACGGAATCAACCTAAGTGCCATCAATGATGGATTAGATAAACAACATGAGGTCCATATACAACGTGGAATACTATGCAGCCATAAAAAATCACAAAATTATTTTCTTTGCAGCAACATGGATGCAGCTGGAGGCCATTATCCTAAGCAAATTAACACAGGAACAGAGAAATGTCACATGTTCTCACTTTTAAGTGGGAGCTAAACATTGGGTACACATGGATATAAAGATGGTAAGAATAGAAACTGGGGATTACTAGAGGACGGGGGTGGGGGGCAAGGGTTGAAAAATTAACTGTTGCATACTATGCTCAGTACCTGGGTGACAGGATCAACTGTACCCCAAACCTCAGTATCATGCAATATACCCAGGTAACAAAGCTGCACATGTGCCCCCTGAACCTAAAGTAAAAGTTGAAAAAGATAAAAATAAAAAAGCTAAAGCTAGGGAAATACCACGGTTGAAGAACATTGATAATTGCAGACCAAAGAATTGACAGCACTCTGTAGTTAGCACATTCAGGAAGGCATAGGTGTCCAGCTGAGATGGAACAATGCAGAAAGTCATCCAGCATCAAATACAGAGCAGAACTCATGCATGCACACATGCACACGCACACAGACAACGCAAGAGGGGCTAGAGAGAACCAAGACCAAAACATTTTTATTTATTTATTTTTTTTGAGACAGAGTCTTGCTCTGTCGCCCAGGCTGGAATGCAGAGGCCCGATCTCGGCTCACTGCAACCTCCGCCTAACATTTTTAAAGATATATGTGACTAAAGGTTCCACATCATTGAGTAACAACTAGCATGGAAGAATAGTACTACACTGTAGCTATACCTAAACAGTTAAAATACAACTATTATCTGGTTAGCATATGTTATGGACTTGATGTTTGTGTCTCCCCAAAGTTCGTATGTTGAAGTCTTATTCGGAGGTAAGGCCTTTGGAAAGTCATTAGAGTTGGATTAGGTCATGAGGATGGGACCCTCATGATGAGGTTAATACCCTGAAGGACATTATTAAATAGGCCAGACACAGAATACACAAATCCTGCACGATCTCAGTTATATGTGGAATCTAAAAAAAGTCAAACTTGTAGAAACAGAAATAGAAAGGTGTTTATTAGAGACTGGCTGGGCAGAGGTGGGGAGAACAGGAAAGGCGGGGATGGAAAAAAAAGGACAAATTGGTTCAAGGATAACAAAGTTTCAGTTAGCCTGAAGGAATAAGTTTTAATGATCTATTGCACTGCATGGTGACCACAGTTAATGATAATGTATATTTCAAAATTGCTACAAAATAGATTTTAAACATTCTTACCACAAAGTAAAGGATAAGTTGGTGAGTGACAGATTAGATAGATATGTTAATTAGCTTGATTTAATCTATACAAAGTATACATAGATCAAAAGAATTACACTGTATCCTACAAAAATATGCAATTATTATTTGTCAACTAAAAAATAAATAGAAAGAAAATTAGATTGAAGAACAACAAAATAGGAAAGATATGGATCTCTCTTTGCTCTCTGCCATGTGAAGGTACAACAAGAAGGTAGCCATCTGCAAGCCAGGAAGAGAGCCCTCACCAGACACTGGGCTTGTAGGTGCCTTGATCTTTGACTTCTCAGTCTCCAAGACTGTGAGAAATAAATGTCTGCTATTTAAGCCAAAAAAACAAAAAAAAAACAAAAAAACAAAAAAAACAAAAACAAAGAAGAAAAAGAAAAAAACTTTTTCAATTCTCAGGTGCTGTGTAGGTGTGTGTGTGTGTGTTGTGCAGGGGTTGGGCAGAGAATAGACACCTACACTGTTGGAGGACAAATGGTCTTACATCAGAGTCAGACACATAGATTAAGGTCCACATAGTTTAATAAGGCACTGCTCTTAGGAGAAAATGATTGAGGGACCAAGTTAGGTCAGGGCAGAAGCTAAGCAAGGATGTATTTTCTACTAATAATTGGGTTAAACTTGAGACAAGGGGTGGGCAGTCTTCCACACCCAGGTGTCAGGCAGTCATGAGTTGTGAGCAGGGATGGGTGAAGTTCTGAGCTTTCAACACCAACCCTCATAGCAGCTGGCAGGGTGGTGGTGCATGGTTCCTGTAAAGGAGATCTGTATACTATGCCCAGAGGAGGGAGGAGTAAATTTCAGTTATATTGAAGGTGTATGCTCATTCCATAGGGGCCTAGCAGAACCTGGAATTCATGTTTAATTAGAAGAGGAGAGAGTTTATAAGGAAATAGTATTAGAGCCCAGTTTTAGAGGTGGATAACTTATTATTCTTATTATCTTATATAACAAGTCATCAAGAAAAATTAGCAGATAAAGTACCTTGAAGTTCTAAAAAAATACAATTTTCTGGGGACCCACCGTGTGTGTGTGTGTGTGTGTGTGTGTGTGTGTGTGCGCGCATGTCATTTTTTTTTTCATTGATTCTGCAAACAAATATTGAGCATTAGTTTATGTTGAACACTATGGTAGGTCATGGAGACACCATGATGAACAAGAACATCTTTGAAACCTGCCCTCATAGAACACAGAGTCACTGTTGTAAACTAAGACAAATGCACAAAAGGAAAGGAACAGAATTCTGTTACAATGTATGCTAAAGGAACCTGACAAACCTAGGAGTCAGGAAAAGCTCTCCCAAGGAATTCACGTTTAAACTGATCTGAAGGATGAGTAACGCCAAAGAGTAGGGGTTGTCCAGGAAGTGTGTGCAGCATGTGCAAAGGCCCTGTGGTTGCACAGAGCCTGGCTAACTCAGGGCTTTTTGTGTGTGTTTGTTTTGTTTTTGAGATGGAGGCTCACTCTGTCGGTAGTGGAGGCTGGAGTGCAGTAGTGTGATGTCAGCTCACTGCAACCACCACCTCCCAGGTTCAAGCTATTCTCCTGCCTCAGCCTCTCAAGTAGCTGGGATTACAGGCATGCACCACCATGCCCAGCTAATTTTTATATTTTTATTAGAGGTGGGGTTTCACCATGTTGGCCAGGCTAGTCTCAAACTCCTAACCTCAAGTGATCTGCCCACCTCAGCCTCCCAAAGTGCTGGGATTAAAGGCGTGTGCCACCACACCGAGCTAATTTTTATATTTTTAGTAGAGATGAGGTTTCACCATGTTGGCCAGGCTGGTCTCAAACTCCTGACCTCAAATGATCTGCCTGCTTCAGCCTCCCAAAATGCTGGGATTGCAGGCGTGAGCCACCACACCCAGCCCTAACTCAGGGCTTTCTATACAGAGCCTGGCCTCTCCAGAGCATGCTCCATGACAAACTGTCCTGCCTTCAGCAGGAAAGATATGTTCTTTTCCATGTGGCCCCAGCTCCCAAGTTCACAACTGATCAGATCAGGGCAGGCACGTGACCCAAGGGCAGCTAATCCCTAGGATGTCCAGTGACCTTTGACATGGCTGTTGCTAAAACCTCTGCTCAAATATGGATGCTCATCTTTGCCCTAGTCAAACCAATTATCCTCTTTAAAAGTGTTTTCTGGGAAATAATAACAAAGTCAGCTATTTGGGAGTGGTGGAGCGAAATAATTAAATACAAAATGAATCTGCAAATCAAGGGCAGCCCACGCAGTTGACAATGGCACATTAGTAGGGACATTCATGAATAGGATCCTATCCAGCCCTGCTGGGACCTGCCTTGGATCCAGAATTTTTTACTCCAATTAGCAAAACTCCAGGCATACAACTGCTCCTACGTTTGGCATGCTATGAGAGTCCTGTTACTTGTTTTCTTAAATTTATTATTGATAGCTTTATTGGGGTATAACTGACATACAAAAACTGCACAAGCTTAATGTATACAGTTTGGTGAGTCTGGGCATATGCACATGTTCATGACACCATCACCCCAATCAAGGAAACAGTCACATCCATCACATCTAGAAGTTTCCTTGTGCTTTCTGGTGTGTTTTAATTTTGTCTCTCTTTTTTTTTTTTTTTTTTTTTTTTGGTGGTGGTGGTGGTAGTTGTTTTTTGGTAAGACCACTTAATATGAGGTCTGCTCTCTCAACAAATTTTTAAGTGTACAATACAGTATTGTTAGCTCTAGGCATTATGTTGTACAACAGATTTCTAGAACTTATTCATCTTGCATAATTGCAAGGTGAACTGCAATGAAAAAATAACTGCATATTGTCATATGTCTCTGCAGTACATCTTTAATCCTGCTATCAAGGCAACCTAATAGAATATGCAGAAGGTTGTACATTATAGCTTCTACTGCCTTCTTCATACACACAGAAAAGCATCCGTTTCTGAGCCATGCATGTGACTGCATTCTGACCCTGTCTTGGGCACTTTATGTGTGCATTGTCTGTAGCTCAAAGAGGTTAAATGATGAAATCAAGGACTAGGGTGACTAGGACTAAATTTGGACCTACGTGTTTGACTCCCAAGTCTATCCCTTTTGGACCATTCCAAGAGACCTCAGTTGGAGGTAGACATCAGAATCATGGGGTAATATTTTTTTTTACTGCTATCCAAACTTCACTCTCGCTGGGCTGAATCGGAATCTTTAGGTGTAGGGCTGAGGTTTGCATAATTTAAGAGACTCCCCAGAGGATTGTGATGTGCACTCCTGGTTAATAACTATTGCATCACCCCCAGCTGCAGGAGCGGGTGTTTTCTGCCTATTCCCTGACACCATATTCAAGGTTGTTTACCACTACTGAGCTGCTAAGAAGTGCAAATTTGTTGCACTTCTGATGTTTATTCCTATGTTAAAGAATACAAGGAGATCTTTGAGGGTGTGGAGCTTGAGAGACATATGTTGGTGGGGAGCGGACCTGTGTTTGACAAGGTAGGTTTCACAGGCTGAGCTGAACGACAGATTCCCCTGAGCCGGCTTACTGGGAGTGTATGTCATATACCCCACAACTTCTGGTTGCTCTTCGGAATTGACTTTTCTTCCTCTTAAACCTCAAGCAGTATCATCAGGCCAGCATGGGACTTAGGAAAAGGAGGAAGACAGGAAGAGGACAGCAAGGCTTGCAAGCGCTGCCTGCAATGCAGTGCAAGGCCCTGATGCCCCCTGGTTCCCAGGATTCTCTCCAGCCATCCGGCTGCAGCATCTGTTCTTCCTGGGCCAGCTACAATTTCAGACTGGGGACAGAGAAGCAGGGGTATCCAGTAAATAGGTATGAAGTAACCTGTTAGTCTGCTGATTGGGTTCCAAACAGAGCACAGCCGCTTTTGCATTGACTGCTTTATCCCTCCTGCGAAGCGCCCGTGTTTCCCTATATGAACACTCACACGTGTGTGTGTGTGTGTGTGCGTGTGTACACCACACTCACATGGAAATCGGCAATGCTGTCAGCACAATGCTGTTTGGTCAGTTTCTGGCTGTCTTCATTACTAAGAGCAGTCATTTAAGGAGTTTTATGAGGTTTACACCATTGCATCTTCCCTCCATGCATTGCCCCTGCTGTGTCCTACTCTTTGGCACCTTCTTCATGGGGCCTGCTAGAACCTGAGTCTGAAGGACTCATCTCCAAGTGTGTCTGGGCGTGGCATTGGACACCTTCTATGATCTGACCCATCTCCCATTAAAGCTCACAAAGCATACACAGTCTCAAGACTATAATACAGATGTTAATGATGTCTTGCACATCAGACTCCCAGTCTTCAATAAATATGGTCCTTTCATCTAGGGCGCCTTTCCCCAGAGACCCATAGTTATAGTCACAGTAGGTTAGACAGTGCTGAAGTAACAAACGACCCTAAACTCTCAGTGTGTAACAACACAAAAGCTGAGTTATCACTGTGGAAAAGGCAGCCTTTGTGGGCAGTTTTACGAAAAGCAGGGAGTCAGTGTTTCAGCCCTTCCATTTTGTGATGCTGCCACCTTTAACACACACCTTCTGTATTAGTCTGTTCTCATGCTGCTATAAAGAACTGCCCGAGACTGGGTAATTGAGAAAGGAAAGAGGTTTAATTGACTCCCAGTTTCACATGGCTGGGGAGGCCTCAAGAAACTTACAATCATGGCAAATGGCACCTCTTCTCAGGGTGACAGGAGAGAGAATGAGTGCTGAGAGAACGGGGAAGACCCTTATAAAACCATCAGCTCTCGTGAGCACTCACTCACTATCACAAGAACAGCATGGAGGAAGCCACCCTCATGGTTCAATTATCTCCACCTGGACCTGCCCTTGACACTTTGGGATTATTACAATTCAAAGTGAGATTCGGGTGTGGACACACAGCCAAACCATAGAACCTTCCAAAGGCACCACAGAAAGAGGTGGAGAGTAGCACATAAAATATTTTTCAGGGATGAGATATGTATCCACTGGCTAGAGTCCAGACACATGACCCCAAACTAACTACAAGAAAGGCTCAGAAATGGGTCTTCAATTGTGCATGTAAAGATGAAATGGGAATACAGCCAATCTCTGCCACCACGGTCATTCTGATCAGCCACAATCTATTTCACTCTTTTTCCACACCTAGAGTAACCACATTCAAGGGGAGCAGCCCTAGGCTCATGAAGTCCCAGCTCCATACTGAAACTGCAGAATCCCTGAGTGATGGGTGCTGGGTTGGCATTAGGTCTGGAGGTGACTCTTTTACGTCCAACAACCTAAGACCTGGACATATAAATTCACTACCCTTCAGAATGTACAATACTAGAAAAATAAGAGGATAACTGACAAAATCACTCCCATTAGGAGGAATAGAGAAAAGCCTCACTCATAGCAGCCATGGGTCTACAGTAGTTCTCAAATGCTGCTGGGAAGGCAAATTGAAAGCCCTCTACTGCAGCTGGGAATGGACTCATGGTTAGACACAAATTCTGCTGCTGGTTGGAATTCCTTGTTCCATGCCCCTGGACTCACGTAAGCTGTGCCCGCTGAGTCTCCTTCTAGGAGACTGTTCACCATTATTCTTATTCTTATTGGAATGTTCTGAGGTAGACAGTGGGAACATGACACTTTGGGGACTATATGTTTTTTAAAGCCTACCTCTTGCCCTACAGCACCAGAGGCCAAAGGGTTGATAACAGTCTTAAAGAGTCAAATATTCTTGGAGTCCAAGTTGGTAGTTTCCTTGACAATATAATTTTGTTTAAAAAACTGATTAGGCTGTCAATCTATCTGTTTCTGGTCTCCTAGTAAACACATTCAAAGTTTTAAAATCTGCTTTGTTGCTTGGCTCTTCATGTGCAGGTTACATGAAGTTACTTTTTCAAGAATTTCTAATTTATTTTATTATTTTATTTTTATTTTGTTTTATATTTGTTTAGTATTTATTTATTTTGAGATGGAGTCTTGCTCTGTCACCCAGGCTGGAGTGTAGTGGTGCAATCTCAGCTCACTGCAACGGGGTTCAAGCAATTCTCCTGCCTCAGCCTCCCAGTGCTGCTGGGACTACAGGTTCATGCCACCACACCCAACTAACTTTAATATTTTTAGTAGATACAGGGTTTTGTCTTGTTGGCCAGGCTGGTCTCAAACTCCTGAACTCAAGCAATTTGCCTACCTCAACCTCCCAAAGTGCTGGGATTACAGGTGTGAGCCACTGCTCCTGTCCTCAAGACTTTTTTAAATAGCTAATTTGTAAACTCCGTGAGAGTAGGGACCAGGCAGACTTGTTCACCACCAACACACTCATCCTCACACCTGAGGGGTTTAACATAACCGTTGTCCACATCATATCAGTGCAAAATAAATGGCTTAGACTCAGCTTCACTAACTGCAAAAAAGAGCAAACACTAATATAACATTTTATTAAGGAGATACCTATTTCTCTGATGACTCCGTGCTAGGTGCAGAATGTGACAGATATGGCTTCCAACTTACCAGGAATATGAAAGGAGGTGAGCAGGTGAAAAGTGACTCAAAGTGGACAAAAGACAAGTGTTGGACACAGTCAGATCTGGAGTCACATCCAACCCTGCCAGGAGCTGTCTGATCCTGGCCAATTTGCTTAAGTTATTAGAGCTCTAGTTTCTTCAACTATATAATGTGAGTATATTCAGGAAGGTGTGAGGAGGCATATTAAAAATATCCAGCCGAGAGCCAAACATAAATAAATGCTCACTACATTTACCTAACATACTTATGTTACAAGATCCATGGGTTTGTAATGTCACCATCACGGCATCCCTGGGTGGAAGAATGGGGAAAGGAGAAAAAAGAGGGTGGGGAGAAAGGGATTCCCCAAAGGGGAAATACCTTACCCTTCCTGAGTCCCAGACAAATCTTATAGGTTAAGAAGATTTCATCTTCCCATTAAGAAAAGAAGAAGAAACAAAGGATCTGAATGGTTAAACGGCTCACTCAAGCTCTCACAGTTAATCCATGGGAAAACCCAAGATTAGCCCTACCAGGTTTCCTTACTCCAAGGCCACTATTCTTGCTCTATGCCCTGCTGCTCTGTCACCTTGTACTCACTCAGTATGTATCTACTTCATGTCTGTCATGCACCATGAGCCATGCTGGGCACCAAGGACATAGTGGGGGGGAGCCCTGGACTGTCTGGGAAGGAATTCCAGTGCCTCATTGTCACCATGTGACATCTCCATCATGCCCAGAAATACTGGTGTGGAGCATGGCTTCAGAAGGCAGACAATGTGGAACAAGGCAATTTTCAGTAATAAACTAGGGTGGTCTATAATTTAGCAATACTGTAGACCTTTGCATTAAAGAACCATTTTTATTGATTTATATGATTCATGAAAATGAACTGTGGAAATATGTTGGATTCATATGCAGATTGATGTAATGCACCATTTACTCAAAGCCCCCCTTAGTGTGTGTATGGTATGGCAACTTGTATTTATCTTGCAGGATTTTATTAAATCAAGCAATCATTTAAAAGATAAATTTTAAAATTTTGTAATTTTAATGGGGGAAAGTGCAAAAGTGCTTGACATCTTAATTCTTAAAATAGTAAAAGTTATGAAGTACAGTTTTTTAACTATAAAACTTTTTTCTTTAAATAACTTGTGTTTTTATGTTTTCTTGGTAACTTATTTTTTATTTCATTTTTTAAAATGCCAGTAAAAACTTTTAATTTGAAATCTATCCTCTTAACAAAATTGTAAGTGTTCAATACAGTATTTTTAATATAGGCACAATGTTGTACAGCAGATATCTAGAATTTATCCATCCCATATAACTAAAATTTTACACCCATTGAACAGCAACCTCCCACTTTCCTCTTCACCACTGTCAACCACTATTATACTATCTTTTTCTATGAGCTTGACTATATTAGATACCTCCTATGAGTGGAATCCTGTAGTATTTGTTGTTCTGTGACTAGTTGATGTCACTGAGCATAGTCCTAAAATTCATATGGAATTACAAATGATCTCAAATAGCCAAAGCAAACTTGAGAAAGAAGTACAAAGCTGCAGGCATCACACTTCCTGATTTCAAAATATATTGCAGAGCTACAGTAATTAAAACAGTATGGTAACAGCATAAAAGCAGATATATAGACCAACTGAATCAAATTGCAAGCCCATCTAAACTCACCAAATTGTAGACGCTAAATATGTATAGGTTTTATGCCACTCATACCTCAATAAAGTGGTTTTAACATAATAATAGAAAACTAAGAAATGAACCAACTCATATACAACTGATCTTGGATAAGGTGTTAAGAGCACACAATGGGAAAATGGCTGCCTCCGCAACAAATGATGATGGGAAAACTGGATATCCACACATAAAAGAATGACATTGTACCAATATCTTACACCATATACAACAATCAACTCAAATGGATTAAACACTTAAACGTCAGACCCAAAACTGTAAAACTCCTAGAAGAAAACATAAGGGGAATGCTTCATGACATTAATCTTGGCAATGATTTCTTGGATATGACACCAAATGAACAGCAAGGAAAGCAAAAATAGATGAGCAGGACTACACAAAACTAAAAAGTATCTGCACTGCAAAGGAAACAATCAACAGAGTGAAAATGCAACCTGCAGAATGGAAGAAAAATATTTGCAAACCACATATCCAATAAGGGGTTAATATCCAAAATACATAAGGAACTCCTACAATTCAACAACAACAACAACAAATAAATAAATAAATAAACTTGATTTTTAAAATTGGCAAAGGACTTGAATAGTCATTTATCCAAAGAAGACATACAAATGGCAAATGGGCATATGAAATGATACTCAGCATCACTAATTATTAAGGAAGTGCAAATAAAAAACAAAATGAGATATCAATTCACACCTCATTGTCATCACGTGACATCTCTCATCATGCCTAGAAATACTGGTAAGGAGCAAGGCATCAGAAGGCTGATGACATGGAACAAGGCAATTTTCATTAATAAAAAGGATGGTGTATAAGTAAGCAATACTGCTGACTTTTGCATTAAAAGACTCAAATGAATTAAACTTGTCAACACTTATCTTGTAAAAAAAAGATGTGTTGACAACAGTATAAAAGATAAGTATTGAAAAGAACATGGAGAAATTTGAATCATTGTACAACATTGATAGAAATGTAGAATAGTGCAGCCACTATGAAAAACAATATGGCGGCTTCTCAAATTGCTAAAAATATAATTATTATGTGATCCAGAAATCCCATTTCTGAATATATATCCAAAATATTTGAAATCAGGATCTCCAAGAGAAATCTGCACTCCCTTGTTCATTGCAGCATCATTCACAATAGCTAAGATATGGAAACAAGTTACATGTCTATCAGTGAATGAGTGGATGAAGAAAAACATATCTGTATATACATACACACTGGAATATTATTCTGTCTTAATAAAGAATGAAATCCTGCCACATGTAACCACAGGGATGAACCTGAAAAACATTTTTTTCTGGTAACTTTGGTCCTTCTCTAGGTAGTTAACCTTAAAGCATATTATTTAAAAATGTCAAACAGTGGCGCCTCTTGTATTCAGCTACTTCATCAGTGTACAAATGTCCTTGTGGCACACTCCGTGTATAGGCAGACATGCTGCTGCAATGAGTGTTAGTAAAGCCTGGGGCCAGAGAGGACTCAGTTCTAGGTTCACATCTTCAAGCCTTGGGGAAGTCCTCCAGGCTCACTGGGCTCAGTTTTTCTATGTCTATAATCAGGAGACGATAATGAGGGATAATAATAATTGCTCTCAGAGCTGAATTATGACTTTTGTGGGCCCCAGGCACCTTTGCCTCCATAGGCCTCCTTCATCCATAAAACAAGTATTTAAAATTGTATTTTTGCACCTGTTTGTATAAAGGTGACTATAATTCAGACTGGACCATATTCCTTATCTTTTTCTGATTTTAAAAGAAATCAAAACTTTCCTTTGGTCCTTAAAAAGTACTGTAGACCCTAGCCACTGTGCCTATTATGTCTGATGGCTACATCTACAGTGGCCACTCATTGTAGATATAAGAAGATGTAAGTCTCTATCTCCTCACCTCACTTATTGACTCAGCACTGACTGACACCCACAATGTGTCAGAAACTAATGAGCACCAAGGGCTCTAGAAATGAAGATGCTACACCAGGCTGGGATGAAGACTTGTCATTTCCATTGCTGCATCACAAACCCCTTGCACAGTGCCTGAGACAGAGTTAATGCTTGATTAATGTTTGATTAGTGAATAAACCAATGGCAGTATCTCTGCTCAAAGAGATGTCCTGTCTAGAGACAACATAATGTCATGTTTAATGATAATTATGCATGTCTGTGTCTTACGTATGTGACTACATCCTCATGAAAAGAATATGAGGGTGTTCACAGTAACAAGCAAGGGCATATTCAAAGCAAGGGCAAAGTGCAAAGAATCCAATAGAAATGGGTATAAGAGAATAAGAAGAAGAGCCTACTTAGAAGAAATAAGATTTCTGCCTGAGAGGCAGCTCTGTGCCTCAGTTTCCCCCTCCCCACCCTGCCCTGCCAGACACACACCTCCCATCAGAGGAGAAGGGGCTGTCATGGCACAAGGCTCGGCATGGTGGGAGCCTTATAAAGCTAAGCACATCCTCTTGTCCAGTGTGAGCATTACCCACTCTGAGGAAGATACTGTTCTACGATTCTCTGCAATTCGACTTAAAGACAGCTTCAGAGTGGCAACCTTGTACGTTTTCTCAATGACATGCACTCCTCTGTCTGGGAAACCATCTTCTAAGTAAAACAAAGGAAGGAGGATTTCACTTTGTTGGCCAGCACACTCATCTCAGAGAAAGGTGCTCCCCACTGCAAGGCCAAACCTATGATCTCCACGGGTGAGCCAAGGAACTGGGAGGCTCAATGTGCAGGCTGGAAACAGGTCTGTTGGGAAAGTCAAATGCCGGACACTCTATCTGTAAGTTCCTTTGTTCTTCTGCGTTCAGATGTTCTCAGATTCCAAGGCATCCAACACTCATTTACTCAACAAAGGCTTCGTGGCCATATGTCACGTGCCAGGCATACATAGGTAAATAAATCAGAAACGCACCCTGCTCTGGTGGAGCTTAGAGTCTAGAGTCCCACTTCTGGATATATATCCAACATATTTGAAATCAGGATTTCCAAGAGAAATTGGCACTCCCACGTTCATTGGCGCATTATTCACAAAAGCCAAAATATGGAAACCACTTAAATGTCCATCAATGAATAAATGGATAAAGAACACACACACATACACACACACACACACACACACACACACATCCCCACATACACACTAGAATATTATCACATCCTTCCAAAGAAGGACGAAAGGTATCACAACCTTCTTTGGTTAAACATTCACATCATGGTTAATGATGGGGATGAGGAGATGGCATCAGGCTCACTGATTTAAAACTCCAGCTTGGTCCCTGCTCAGCTGTGTGGCAGCAGTGACATACTTAAACTCTCCCAGTCTCAATGTCTTCATTTGTAAAAGGAAGTATGAAAGGGCCATTCTGTGAATTGAAGAAGTCCATGCACATAAGTGGCTTACCAGCATATTTGATGTAAAGTAGATGTTCAAAAATGTGATTCGAAATGATCAATAACATGCTTTTCACACTATGGTGAAATGTGTAATTTTTAATTATTCCTTTGTTTCATGTACAACATGGTGAATGGATCACAGGATCCATTAAGGGTTGGCACTGAGTTTTATTCATTGTCTTAGTCCCTGCAGCTCACAGATCCTAGCACACAGTAGGGGCTAAATAAATGGCTGATAGATAAATAAATGAGCACATGTACTAAAGCCTCTGCCCAAGGAAATGGAGATCTGAAGACAAAGAAATCTCCCTAAAGTCCGTGTCTTCCCACCAGGCTGCCATTCCTCCGTCGGATGACGGAACAGCCCTCCTTATGTCAGTGAGAAGAAAAGTGGTGTGCAGCCTTCCTTGGGGAAGAACAGGGTGCACCTCACTCTGAGTAACTGGATCCTTGATTTTTTTTTTTTTTTTTTTTTTTTGTTGGAGACAGAGTTTCACTCTGTCACCCAGGCTGGAGTGCAGTGGTACAATCTCAGCTCACTGCAACCTCCGCCTCCAGGGTTCAAGTGATTCTTCTGCCTCAGCCTCCTGAGTAGCTGGGATTACAGATGCCCGCCAACACATCCAGCTAATTTTTGTATTTTTAGTAGAGACGGGGTTTCTCCATGTTGGCCAGGCTGTTCTTGAACTCCTGACCTTTGGTGATCTGCCCGCCTCGGCCTCCCAAAGTGCTGGGACTACAGGCGTGAGCCACAGTGCCCAGCCTGAATCCTTGATCTTTAATGACGGTCTGTCAGAGCCTGAGTATTCATCAGCTGTGATGGCTATTTATGTCTCAACCTTGCCAGTTCACAAAACCCAGGTATTTGGTCCAACATTACAGATGTTTCTGTGAAGGCATCTTTTAGAGGAAATTAATATTTAATTCATTAGACTTTGAGTAAAGCAGATAACCCTCAGTCGTATGGGTGGGCCCTGTTCAGTCAGTTGAAGACCTTTCAGTAGAAAAAGACTGACTTTCCCCAAAGAAAAAGAAATTCTGCCAGCAGACTGCATTCAACTTGGATGGCAACTCTTCCCTGGGTCTCCAGCCTGCCAGCCTACCCTGTAGACTTTAGACTTGCCAGCCTCCACAAGTGCATGACCCAATTTCTTAAAATCTAAAATATACACACACATACACATTCACAAACACACATATACAACTTATTGGTTCTGTTACTCGGGAGAAACTAATACATCGAGCATGTGCCAGCTGCCCCCAACTGGACCAGGCAGTGTCAGGGATATCACAGTAAAAGCAGCACACAAAAGGCTAAAGGAGGCCTCGGGGATGATCATATCCAATTATCTCTCTATACCTTGAGAAACTGAGACCCAGAAGGGTAGGTGCCTGGCCCAAGGTCACACAGCAGGTTGGCACTGAGGAAAACCACGTGGCAGACTCTTCACTCAATGTCTCACCACAAGGCTGCATTGAAGCTCTTGGAGGAAGATTTGATTTAATTATGTGGATAAATGACAGAAAAAAATAATATCAGCAGGAGGTTTTTACTGGGCATGTTTGTGTCAGGCTGTATGCTCAAGGCCTTTATAAGCTTATTTCATTTAATCCTCTCAGCAACCCTGTGAGCCAGGCATTAGTATATCCTTTGACTGATAAGCCAAGAGTCAAAGAGGGTAAATAATTCCCCTAGTGTGAAGCTGCTGGTTTCAGATGCAGAGGGAACATAAGCGCTTGCTCCACCAACTCTAAATGTGGAATGTCTAGATGTCAAAGGTGCTGTAGGAAAGAAAAGAGGCCACGAGGGGAGAGGGGCCAGGGCTAATGAGAAAAAGACATGGCCTGTCTCAGCAACCCTTACCTCCCTGTGATTTTTTACGCCAATCAGCTCGTATTGCTATGAAAGTCCAGTTTTGCAAATGTCTCTGCAAGGAAAGGCTTATTTTGAAGGGAACACCTGTTCTCTAATCCTTCCAGCTGATGCTACAATCTGTGCGGATTCCAATGTTATTTGTTAATGCGCTGGGCTTCTCAGGGATTTGGATACAAAGCTCCCAGGGGAGGTGGAGGGAGTGGATTTTATTCTTTGCTTGGCAGCACTTGTCTGGTGGGAAGGCACAGGGTGGGTGCACAGCACTGAATCTGCATAATTGGATGGGACTCAAATGGAAAATGCACAGGAAAAGAATCAAGTCCTGAAAATAACCCATTGAGCTAAACTCCATGAGCAAGTTCAAAGCTAAGCACTCACAAATAAACCATTTTATCTGAGTCTGGTCAAAGACAGGGATGTCTGCTTTGACACACATCCCCAAAAATAGCCAAGAAGAGAAATAAAAAGAAAATGCTATACTGTATCATGGGCCTAAGTCTATTTCTGTGATGTTTTTATACATATTAACTTCTGAAATCCTCCCTAGAAGGTAGATGTGATCCCATTTCACAGTTAAGAAAACTAAGTTTCCCAGTCCCACCAACAGTGTAAAAGTGTTCCTGTTTCTCCACATCCTCTCCAGCACCTGTTGTTTCCTGACTTTTTAATGAGTGCAATTCTAACTGGTGTGAGATGGTATTTCATTGTGGTTTTGATTTGCATTTCTCTGATGGCCAGTGATGATGAGCATTTTTTCATGTGTCTATTGGCTGCATAAATGTCTTCTTTTGAGAAGTGTCTGTTCATATCCTTCACCCACTTGTTGATGGGGTTGTTTTTTTCTTGTAAATTTGTTTGAGTTCTTTGTAGATTCTGGATTTTAGCCCTTTGTCAGATGAGTAGATTGCAAAATTTTTCTCCCATTCTGTAGGTTGCCTGTTCACTCTGATGGTAGTTTCTTTTGCTGTGCAGAAGCTCTTTAGTTTAACTAGTTCAACATTTGTGGAAGACAGTGTGGCAATTCCTCAAGGATCTAGAACTAGAAATACCATTTGACCCAGCCATCCCATTACTGGGTATATACCCAAAGGATTATAAATCATGCTGCTATAAAGACACATGCACATGTATGTTCACTGCGGCACTATTCACAATAGCAAAGACTTGGAACCAACCCAAATGTCCATCAATGATAGACTGGATTAAGAAAATGTGGAACACATACACCATGGAATACTATGCAGCCATAAAAAAGGATGAGTTCCTGTCCTTTGTAGGGACATGGATGAAGCTGGAAACCATCATTCTTAGCAAACTATTGCAAGGACAAAAAACCAAACACCGCATGTTCTCACTCATAGGTAGGAATTGAACAATGAGAACACTTGGACACAGGAAGGGGAACATCACACACCAGGGCCTGTCATGGGGTGGGGGAGGGGGGAGGGATAGCATTAGGAGATATACCTAGTGTAAATGACGAATTAATGGGTGTAGCACACCAACATGGCACATGTATACATATGTAACAAACCTGCACATTGTGCACATGTACCCTAGAACTTAAAGTATAAAAAGAAAAGAAAAGAAAACTAAGTTTCCACAAGAGTGAATGAGTTCCCCCAAGCCACATAGCATTTATCATAGGAGGCATTTGTAACCAGAGTCTGCTTTCTACCGCATTGTAACAGTCTCCGAGATAGAAATTTGGCTGGGCCGTGCTCAGATATGTCATTTGTAACAGAGTCTGGTGGACTGAAATGGTCTATCATGTGTGCCATTCCATCCCACTTCATACCAGGTCTAACGTTCTGAGCTGGGCACACACACGTCAGCAGAGATGCCCCTCACTCCACAGCTGCCTCCCATTTGGTTACTGGCTCCTGCCGTGTGAAGCAATGAATGGTCTGTGTGGCCTCAGTGTCTTGCTTCTCAGCTTCCTACATGAATATGATTCACACATTTGTATCATTCATTCCCCACACTTTTATTGAGCACTGAGTATGGCAGGCATGGTGCTGGCCCTAGGGATGGGGAGCTGAATGAGTTGGTTTCTATTCCCAGCCACTCAGAGCCCAGTGGAGGAAGGACAGAAATGCCTAGAGAATTGAAGAGAAAGTATTTCTTTTTAAGAAATCAGAGAGTACTTTCATATTAGTGGTGGCACCTGACAAAGTCTTGGAGGGTGTACAGGGAGTTGCACATCAGAGTCCCTCAGGACAGAAACCTTCTCATAATCATCTTCACAACCTCCTGTGGCAGCCTCAGCAAAGGCCCTTGGCTTGGGAGATGAGTGTTGAAAGTGTTTTGAATTGATCTGTGACCACTGACATTCCCTAACGCCCCAGGCCACATTCCCTGGAAAACAGAGTTTGAGTGGAAGATTTTCAGGCAGTAGATTCTGACGTTCTGAGGGCCAGCACTGGCTCTGAGACTCTTCAGTCTCTACAATGGGGTCTACTGAAACTCTGGGTGCCAGCCCACGTGGGGGCTGAAGGAAGGAAGACTGGACATAGGGAGAAGCTGAACTGTGATGTAGTCACAGCAAAGGCTTCGGCCGACCACGGGGAGCTTTGCCTCAGTGATGGTCCTGTAGCAAAGGACCCACAGCAGGGACAGTCCAATGACATGCTACAGGGCTCACTGCTTTCCACTCGCTTTCTTACTCATTCACTTCCTATGTGCTGGGCCCTGCGTCAGTGCTAAGGACGTCAGGTTCTGAGAAGCTCAGTGGTTGACTGAAGTTCTGCATCTACAAGTCACCGGAGTCTACCCTGGAACTGGTCTTATTTGGCTCTAAAATCTGCTCCTTCCATGGCACAGAACCCCATTCTGGCTTCAGGTCCCCTCAGCAGGTTCTTGACAACTCTTTTCTTTGCTTCTCAGGACCATAAAATCATGTGACACAGCAGCTTGGACAAGATGAAGACATGAGTTGGGCAGCTTTTGCCACCAGACCTCCTGGCTGGGTCTCAGAGCTAGCAAAGATAACATCACAGGAGAGCCAGCTGAGTGCATTACCTAATATTCTGAACAGTCTGTGCACAGAGCCTGACTGTATAGGAGGATAGAACACCTCTTTTGCGGGGCTGACTGGGCATGGACAGTTTATCACACTTATAATGTGGGCTACTCAGAAATTAGTAGTGATAGTTACTATTAATGTGACAGTTACTTTTACGTGTCATCTTACTTGGGCCACAAGGTGCCCAGACGTTTGGTTGAACATTATTCTAGGTAAGCCTGTGAGGGTATGTCTGGATGAACTGGTCAATTGAATAAAGCAGATAGCCCTCTCCAACATGAATAGGCCTTATCCAATCCATTGAGGGCCTGAATAGGACAAAAAGACTGAGTGAGAGAAAACTGTCTCTCTTATTTATTGTCTTTGATCTGGGACATCAGTTTTCTCCTGCCTTTGGACTTAGACTTGCAAGGGGCCTTATAACACTAGCTTTCCTGGTTCTGAGGCCTTTAGCCTTGGACTGGAATGATACCACCTGCACTCTTGGGTCTCCAGCTTGCTGACTGAAGATTTGGGGGCTTCTCAGCCTTCAAAATCATGTGAGTCAATTACTTATGATAAATCTCTTTGTGTGTGTGTGTGTGTGTGTGTGTGTGTGTGTGTGTGTGTGTGTGTGTGTGTTCTATTGGCTGTATTGGTCCTGTTTCTCTGGAGAACCCTGAATAATACAGGCTGTTTATTTATGAGTAGGCCACTAATAAAAACATAGCATATACTGGCTTGGGAGAAATATGAGCAGAATCATACCCTGTGTGGTTAAAGCCCTGCACATCACAGAAGAGCAGGGGATGTTTCCTAGGATAAAAGAACAAGGGGAAGGACAGGATATGCATATTTAGTTAGCAGCTAGTGAGTATTGGATACCGGGCTAGGAACTTTACATTTATTACAACATTTGGGTACATATAACACTCCATGAGATTATTAGCTATTGGGGAGCCCACTCTACAGGTGGGAAAACTGATGTTCAGAGAGTGCACAAATGAAAGCGGGAGCCAGGTTTTGAAACCAGACATGGCCTTCAACGTTATCACATAGTCTGAGTGGCCCCCTCACAGCACAGCCTCCTGACCTACAGAGAACCATATTCTTCCAAGAGACCACATATAACAAGTATCATATGAAGACCATATTCCCTGTATCTATCCCAGGGCTTGGCCTTAGAAATATGTCTGATAGAGCTTGTAGTGATAAAAACAAGGGGTGGGAAGATGGTGAAAGGAAGGGTCAAATTAGCAAAAATCTCTGAAGGGGATGTTTCAAAGAAGCATGAATCTCATAGAACATACACTCTGCAAAGTAAAGTTTGAAAGTTTTGAAGCAACTGCCCCACACAGGCCTTACCTCTGAGGAAGTCGGCTTGCAGTACCCAGCTCCAAAGACCAAGTTTTCCAGAGAAATGATAGACTGTTCTTGTCCGGTGTCTGGGCCACCTTTACCAAGCCAGGAGCCTCTTCCTGGACGAGTAAAACTAAACAAAAGATAATTGAAAGGGTGAAAAAGGAGGTAAAGAAAGTGATGGTGCCATTAACTCAGCCCCTTTGAGGAGTGTTCCTGTGAAGCATTTGGGATAAGTCATTTAGGAGTAGTTCACCCCCTAGGGAGTGTTTGCATGTGACATTTGTGGATATTTTGATGATAAAGAGGGTACAACTGGCACGTAAGCTTGAAAGTCAATGATGATACACATCCTACAATGTGTGCATGTAAATGCCCACCCTAAATGCCAACAACATACCTGTAAGAAACACTGAAGCAGAGCTCCAAGCTTATATCACTAGAGGGGAAGGTGGCATGGGCTCCGAAAATTTCAGGGGCAACTCTGACCAGACAAGGTCTGAGTCCTGTCCCTGCTCCTTCCACCAACTCCTCCCTCCCTGGACCTCTTTTCTTCTGTGGAAAAGCATAAAACATCTTCCTCCATGATCCGCATGAGAGTCTAATACGATGTCAAAGACTGTCATAAGCCAGAAAGCACTCGCTGTGTCAACGCTAATTGGGAAGACCATAACCTGCTCAGCTCACAAATGTGCAGTTCCTGCCCAGCTCTGCAATCCAAAGATTAATGGACATATTGTGATGGCAATGATCAATTTCAGGATCAAAGGAGATTAGGAAAAGATGTGTGATTATTCAAATTTATCATATTTGAGTTTATGATCATCTTCCTCTATCTTTACCTGTTTGATTTTCATCAATTGATATACCAGTAATGTTCACTTATACTCATATTCTTTTTTAGATCTCTTCTGTTTCATTTCTTTTCTAATGGATGTTTTGTCATATTGTGGATACTATATTCTAGGCATGTTTTAGTCCCTCAGTAAAATTTAAAGTCTCTGATGGCAAAGAGGGTCTTGACAATAAATAGCCCCAGGTGACATCATCTTCATCATCTTCACTATGGGTGCTCAAGAAACATTTGTGGAAGGGCTTAATCCAAGAGATCCAGGTTCCTGCTTAAAATATTGACAGGAAAATAAATTTAGCATTATATTTATGTTTAATTCATTTATTCAAATATTTATTAGGCCCATACCATATGCCAGGCAGTGGGTTAGGTGCTACGATGATAAGATGATTGAGGCACAGCCTTCACCTTAAAGACATTTGTCTAAAGAGCAAAGGAAACCAATAGATGTAATACAATGCAGGAAAACTCAGGCCAGTGTGTGCAGGAGAGCAATTTATGATGCAAACGAGGTGAAAAGAATGTGTCCAGAGATGATCCTCAGAGTATGGTCAAGCAGTGAGGGGGCAATAAATCCAGCCTCTCAGGGTTCAACTCCCTAAAGGCTGTGTGACCTGAGGCAAGTTTTTAATCTCCCTAACTCTGCTTCTCCCTGTCAGAAGGTTTGATACCAGCACCCTAGCCATTTGGTGGTTGTTGGGGTCCCATGGGATAAGCCAGAGGCAGCTTCCAGTACAGTGTCTGGCAAGCAGCAAGGCTTCCATCAATGCTAGGAGCTATCTGTTGCTAATACCACACATATAATAAAATAGAATCATTGTTCTGATTTGTTTTCAATTGCAAGTTGAAGCAACTCTCTAATTTAGCTATAAGATGGATAGAAGGAACATTCCAGAAGAAAAGTATAAAGTGTCTATGTGAATACTCCTGGCACATTCACTGGACAGACTGCAAATTAATAACTAAAATAACTTGTTATTTACTTAAGGGTGGTCTTAATTAGCTTTTCTGGTGGATCTGAATCCCTCAAGTGAAATCCAATCATATCCATTTGGGGGTTAAAAATTGGATTCTTTGCTTCAGCTTGTTTTAGTGAAGGCTAAGGGGTTTTGGAGGTTAAATGTTAATTTCACACCTATTTCATGATAATTGTGTTTAACTGATGCTGTGAAAAACTGCTTTTCTGGAAAAGCTAGTGCTTGCCCTATTTGACAGGTATTTCCCACAAACTTAAAGGGTTCCCTTTGTTTCCAGCTGCTGTGATCCAACTGATAGAAGTTCTTTCTGCAAAATCCAGAGGACAGAAGACAATTCTATTTTTACCCCCAACCCTGAAGAAGTCTAGCCCTTACTGTGAATTTCTGTCTGTGTTTCACTCCAGCAAGGTTGCTGCAGACAAACTTGCAAAAGACTCTTTCTGTCGGAAGGTTAAACATTTTACTAAGATTTCTAAGATTCCCAAATTCTCAATAGAATAGTATCAGGGACCCCATTATAAAATGGGAGTGAAGCCTGCTAATATGGTTTCACTGTGTCCCCACCCAAATCTCATCTTGAATTGTAGTTTTTGTAATACCCACATGTTGTGGGAGGGATCCAGTGAGAGGTAATTGAATCATGGGGGTGGTTACCTCCATGCTGTTCTCCTGCTAGTGAGTGAGTTCTCATGAGATCTGATGGTTTTATAAGGGGCTTTCCCCCATTTGCTCAGCACTTCTCCTTGCTGCCGCCATGTGCAGAAGGACATGTTTGCCTCCCCTTCCACCATGATTGTAAGTTTCCTGAGGCCACCTCTGCCCCGCAGAACTGTGAATCAATTAAACCTCTTTTCTTTATTAATTACCCAATCTTGGGTATTTCTTCACAGCAGCATAAGAATGGACTAATACAGTAAATTGGTAACACAGAGAGTGGGGTGTTGCTATAAGGACACCCAAAAATGTGGGAGTGACTTTAGAACTGAGTAACAGGCAGAGGTTGGAACAGTTTGAAGGGCTCAGAGGAAGATAGGAAAATGTGAGAAAGTTTGGAATTTCCTAGAAACTTGGAGGGCTCAGAAGACAGGAAGATGTGGTAAAGTTTGGAACTTTCTAGAGACGTGTTGAATGGTTTTAACCAAATTGCTGATAGTGATATGGGCAATGAAGTCCAAGCTGAGGTGTCTCAGATGGAGATGAGGAACTTCTTGGGAACTGGAACAAAGATGATTCTTGCTATGCTTTAGCAAAGACAACATTTTGCCCCTTCCCTAGAGATCTGTGGAATTTTGAACTTGAGAGAGATGATTTAGGGTATCTGGTGGAAGAAATTTCTAAGCAGCAAAGCTTTCAAGAGGGAGCAGAGCACAAAAGTTTGGAAAATTTGCAGCCTGATGATGCAATAAAAAAGAAAAATCCATTTTCTGGAAAGAAACTCAAGCCTGCTGCAGAAATTTGCATAAGTAATGAGGGACCCAATGTTAATCACCAAGGAAATGGGGAAAATGTCTCTAGGGCATGTCAGAGACCTTCATGGAAGCCCCTCCCATCACAGGCCCAGAGGCCCAGGAAGAAAGAATGGTTTTGAGGGCCTGGGACCAGGGCCCCCTTGCTGTGCACAGCCTAGGGACTTGGTGCCCTGTGTTCCAGCTGCTCCAGTTGTGGCTAAAAGGGGCCAAGGTATAGCTCAGCCCACGGCTTCAGAGGGTGCGAGCCTCAAGCCTTGGAAGCCTCTACTTGATGTTGAGCCTGCAGGTGCACAGAAGTCAAGAATTGAGGTTTGGGAATCCACCTAGATTTCAGAGGCTATATGGAAACTCCTGGATGTCCAGGCAGAAGTTTGCTGCAGGAGCAGACCCCTCATGGAGAATCTCTGCTAGGGCAGTGCAGAAGGGAAATATAGGGTCAGAACCCCCACACAGAGTCCCCACTGGGACACTGCCTAATGGAGCTATGAGAAGAGGGCCACCATCCCCCAGACTCCAGAATGGTAGATCCACCAATAGCTTGCACCATGCACCTGGAAAAGCCACACTCAACATCAGCCCATGAAAGCAGCCAGTAGAGGGGACTGTACCCTGCAAAGTCAAGGGGCACAGCTACCCAAGGCCATGGGAGCCCATCTCTTGCATCAGCACGGCCTGGATGTGAGACATGGAGTCAAAGGGGATTATTTCAGAGCTTTAAGATTTAATTACTGCCTTATTAGATTTTGGACTTGCATGGGGCCTGTAGCCCCTTTGTTTTGGCCAACTTCTCCCACTTGGAACAGCTGTATTTACCCAATGCCTGTACCCCCAATGTATCTAGGAAATAACCAACTTGCTTTTGATTTTGCAGGCTCATAGGCAGAAGGGACTTGCCTTGTCTCAGATGAGACTTCGGACTTGGACTTTTGGGTTAATGCTGGAATGAATTAAGACTTTGAGGGACTGTTAGAAAGGCATGATTGTGTTTTGAAACGCAAGGGCATGAGATTTGGGAAGGATTAGGGTGGAATGATATGGTTTGGCTATGTCTCTACCCAAAGCTCATCTTGAATTGTAGTTTCCATAATCCTCACATGTGGTGGGAGGGATCTGGTGGGAGGTAACTGAATCATGAGGGCAGTTACCTCCATGCTGTTCTTGTGATAGTGAGTGAGTGCTCACAAGATCTGATGGTTTTATAAGGGCCTTTTATCCTTTTGCTCAGCACTTCTCTTTGATGCTGGCATGTGAAGAAGGATGTGTTTACTTCCACTTCCACCATGACTGTATGTTTCCTGAGGCCTCCCCAGCCCTGTGGAACTGTGAGTCAGTTAAACCTCTTTCCTTTATACATTACCCACTGTCAGTTCTTTCTTCATAGCAGAGTGAGAACAGACTAATACACTTGCTCTCTGCCCTTTCGGTTGGCATAAACACTTTGCATCACCAAACCGGCCTCCAATCTGATGTAACTTCCAGTCTAACCAACTCAAAGCTGCTGGAGTCTTTACAAAACATAGATCTTACCAGGTAACTCTACTGCTCAAAACCTTCAGTGCCTCCTTTTTATACAATAAACAAATTCTCAATTCCTTAATGTGCCATTAATTACTGTATTAAACTATAACTCCAATTTACCATCCCAAATTCACTTTTCACTGTCACAGTCTCTTATCCTCTGGATGTAGCACAAAGGATGTTTCTTCTAGAAAGATTTCTCTCATGTCCCTGAAGTAGAATTGCTTCTTTCCCATGCTAACAATTACATAGCATTCACTAAATGCTTATTATGTGCTAGACATGAGGCCTAGGTGAGGGCTTGGAATATGGGAGGTGCTAAATAAAAATCGACTGAATGAATGGCCAAGGCTTTTACATGTGCTGTCTCATTTAATCATTCTAAAAGCTTTCTGGTATGTACCGAAACTGAAACTCACATGCTCAAGCTAACAGAGTTAACAAGCAGGGGGCTCAGATTTGCAACATGGGTTTGTCTAATCCTAAAAACCATCCCTTTAATTCCTACCCTACACTGGGTTCCCACATCCCTTGCTTAACAGGTATTGCTCAGAATTACAGTTTGGTCTATATGTGTTTCTGCCACACTCTGAGACTTTAATGATGCCAGACTTGATTTATCTCAGAGCTTCCAGACATGGCCTCTCTAGAAGTGGCTAAAGCTTAGTGACACCCACCTTGAAGCAAGCATGTTTTCACCACATGCAGCACTATATACTTCATCCCATTGCACCTCCTCATCATCCCTGTCGGGTTAGTATCACATCTCATTTTTAAAAAATTTCGGCTGGGTGCAGTGGCTCACACCTATAATCCTAGTACTTTGGGAGGCTGAGGTGTGTGGATTGCTTGACCTCAGGAATTTGAGACCAGTATGAGCAACTTGGTGAAACCCTGTCTCTACAAAAAATACAAAAATTAGCCAAGCATGACGGCTCCTGCCTGTAGTCCCAGCTACTTGGGTAGCTGAGGCAGGAGGATCACTTGAGCCCAGTTGGCAGAGGTTGCAGTGAGCTGAATTTGCATCACTGCACTCTAGCCTGGGTGACAGACAGAGTGAGACGCTGTCTCAAAAAAAAAAAAACAATAAAAGTAAAATAAAATAAATGAAAGTTCCTTTGACTCATTCATTGACTTATATGTTGAAACAGATGCTAGAAAAGTTAGGTGACTTATCCAAGGATCCCCAAAAAGTAAGTGGTAGGGCTAGATGATAAGATGGTCTTGACTCCAGCCGATGAAAGAACAATTTGATCCTAGGGCCCCAGAATCCACTGCAGGAAGCTCTGCCTTTCCTACCCCAGGCTGTCTGTCACCTTCTCTTGCCTCATCTTCAGCAGAGACAGCCTGCTAATCCCAGGACCTGACCTTACTAGCCTCACCTCGCAGAGGGCAGACAGATCATGCCCTTAACTCTGTGTTGAGGATGTGATTTGCCAAGCCTTGGAGTGCATTAGCAGCTAGGGAATATCCTGTGGGAATATTCTTCACAGGATGATAGTACTCTCTGTTGCTTTCTGGATTCTATGTCTCCTGTCACTTCCCAAGGTCAGGTCTGCTGTCCTTTGTTTCTATAACTGTGAATCTTGTAACATTTTCTACCAAACTCTACCACAACGGCATTTACCATATTATAATTTCATATATGCGAATGGGCCCACTTCACTGGACTGTGAACTCACTGAGGGAAAGATGTATTCCACAGTATTTTTATATTCCATAGTAGAATGTACTGCATATTCACTTACACTTTCCCTAGAGCACAGCAGGCCCCCAGTAAATACCCATTGAATGAAAGAATAATGGAGCCAGGAAAGGAACCCAGCAGATGGGCGTGGTCACTGGATCACACCTTCAGGGGCAGCAGCTCCTGGTCACGTGGCATGGGTCAGATTGGGTAACTAATTTCCTACTCTCTGACCCCAGCAGAGAACAGGGGCTTCAGGACAAGAACAGCAAACGTAGTGAAAATTCTAGTCTCCTGTACATGCACCTAAACTGTCAGCACTGAGAAGCCATTCAGAAAAGGGAAATCAGGAAAGATCCCTTTTGGAAACACCATGCTGCAACATTCTACGCATAAACATTGCACACGTGGAACTTTTGCCCATGTGCATGTGTAATGTTTTGAAATTATTTCATGCACCTATCTGGCCATGCTGGGAGTAGATATGAAGACAGGTGAGCATGGTACAATATGCTAGATGCTGTCAGTTCTGTCCCTCTACTTGGGGCATTCATAGAACCTCAGTGCTTCACATGATCTGGAACATGTTCTGGGAAAATTCACTGAAGGGAAGAATCAAACCATATGAATGGGCTGGGTGTGGTGGCTCACGCCTGTAATCCCAGCACTTTGAGAAGCCAAGGAGGGTGGATCACCTGAGGTCAGGAGTTTGAGACCAGCCTGGCCAACATGGTGAAACCCCGTCTCTACTAAAAATACAAAAATTAGCTGGGCGTGGTGGCGGGTGCCTGTAATCCCAGCCACTCGGGAGGCTGAGGTAGGAGAATTGCTTAAACCCAGGAACCAGAGGTTGCAGCAAGCCGAGGTGGTGCCATTGTACTCCAGCCTGGGCAACAAGAGCAAGACTCCATCTCATATAAGTAAATAAACAAACAAACAAATGAATGAACCTTCTACATTTGAACAAATAACAACTTGGGGAAGAAAAAGAAAACTAAGCCCCTAACATGTGCCTGGTACCATCTTCATTTGAGATTCACTAAAATCTTACGTAGATGGGACACACATTAGTGTTCCTGTCATAGAGGATTATGTGGCTCAGGAACATTAGATGACTTCTCAAAGAAGGCACAGTTAGAAAAATGTGAAGCCAGACTCCAAGTCTTCCTGGTGTAAGCCATAGTTTGCAGGTTTTCGACTTCCGGGTTCCACACCAGTCTCCCTTTGGGACCTCCTCCTTCCTCTCTCGCATGCTCCTCAGTGAGGCCCAAAGCTTAAACCTGCAGCCTTAGAGAAACTCCCTTGCGTGTGCTGATCTCTCCTGGAAAACTCCCTGCCCCTCTACCACACCTGCAATGGAAGGTGGCTCCCACATATCAGGGCTGCCTCTGAACTTCATACCTGATCAATGGCTGCTGCAGAGCCACCAGGGCAGCATGGACGGTCACCGAGATCACAGACAGGTGGAAATAGTCGAACATGACCGGGACCTGGTGGTGCAGACCATTCCGGGGGTGGAAGTGCAGGCCAAGCGTTCGGCTGCTGACCATCGGTGCCCCAGCCACATCCCTCAACCTAGAAGGCAAGCATGTGAGCTCACGTGAGAAATGGTGGGTTGCCCCTGCTGTCCTCCTAGCATGTCTGTATTAAGCCTCTCCATGGGCCAAGCACCATGCATACATCATCTCGTTCAATCCTGCAAATGCTCTGCCTGGTAGAAATCATTTTTCCCACCATTGGCAGATGAGAAAACCATGGCTCACAGGTATCACTAGATATCACACAGCTGCTACACAACAGATCTGGTGACATGCTCCACTGTCACGGACATCAAGTTCATGTGTCAGTGATGGATAAGAAGCCCAGACTAGCTTTTAAAGACTCTTCAACATTGAAGCCTCCTACTTTTTCCACTTCTTTATCTCCCCAACAGATGCCCAGATGTCCAGTGCTCTCCTCATAACGCTGCACTGACTGTGTGACCCTGTGTTTTCTAACAGATTCCTACCTCTTAAGGGACTATGACTAATGCGTCTTTATAGTCCCAATACCTAGCCTAGTATCTGGCAGGTATTGAGAATATAAATACGAATTAAAATGAACAACTGACTGACTGAACGAACAAAAGAATGAATGACTCCCAAAGCACAATGCTTAGATAGTCTGACTAGTTTCATCAAGGATTCCCCAATGTCTGCTCCAATATTTTGTAATTGACATGTATCTGAGTCTAAGAGATTAAACCAACTGGCACACGACCCAACAGCATCTTTGGTGATTAAAAGAACATTGGTTGTTGCCTAAATAAAACCTGGGGCCACGTTCGCCCCCAGGAGGACCCAGTGCTAATCTCAAATCCTGAGAACCAGTCATTTGGGCTGGGCAAATTTCTCTGAAGCAGACCACAAGGGAAACCTGGGAGGAGCATCTTTCATGAGAAGAGCAGAGAGGAAATGCTTGTCCTCCATCCATAGATAAGGAAATGAAGCACAGAAAGGGCGAGATGAAGGGAGCAGTCTCTTAAGACCCAACACCATAGGCTTTGCTTCCTTGAAACCCTTGTTCCTTGTGCGCAAACAAAGGCCAAGTGAAATAGCCAGCTAAATTTTTAGAGCTCAGGGTGACTCCATAGATTGAATATGAATAATGGTCCCCTGGTACCAGAAAGAAACCTGTCGGGGAGAGGGTGAAGGGTCTAGGCCATGAATCTCAGCAAGGTGTTAACATTTACATTCTTTTTAATTCAGGCTACAATTTGTTGAGAGCTTATTATGAACTGAACATGGTACTTTCCCCTTTACTCTGTATGGCAATCACAGGAGGTATTTATTGGCATTATTCTGTTTGTAGAAAAGGAAGTAAAGCCAACAAGAGTTAATCAAAGCCACAAGGCAAAAATGTAATCTTGGACCAGGTCTTCCTGATTCACAGTTGTTTCTGAGTTACTGCTCACTATTGCTTTGAATCCAGTCAGACACAGGTTCCCAAGAATCACAGATATAACCCTAGGGCTTGAACAACAGGAGGTTAAATACATGTCAGTGTCGCAAAGATGGCAAAAATGTTAACAAGAATTTAAGCCACATTAGTAAGAGTAAAGAATTAAGAATGGAGAGGTGGTAGCTCTCCTGTGCTCTGAAATAGATATATCCAAAATGGAGCTAAAACTTAGGTCCTGGTGGTGGTGCAGGGAGGTCTCTAAGCTCTGAAATGATGGTGATAAACTTGACTGCACTGATAGGAGAGTGTCTGAGTTCTTATAAGGGAAATAAAGCAAACAAAAAAATTAAACAAACAAAAAACACACACAGAAAGAGCCCTAGTATTTAACCTGGAGATGATATAAACAAGGTTTCTGTTTTAGTTTTTGGAGATGGAGTCTCACTCTGTCACCCAGGCTGCCAGGCTGGAGTGCAGTGGCATAATCTCGGCTCACTGCAACCTCTGCCTCCTGGGTTCAAGCAATTGTCCCACCTCACCCTCCCAAGTAGCTGGGATTACAAGTGTGCACCACCACGCCCAGCTAATTTTTGTATTTTTCAGTAGAGATGGGGTTTCACCATGTTGGGCAGGCTGGTCTCGAATTCCTAACCTCAAGTGATCCTCCTGCCTTGGCCTCCCAAAGGGCTGGGATTACAGGTGCGAGCCACCTTGCCTGGCCAAGAAGGCTTCTTTTCTAAACTGCCATCCAGACTTGGGATTTGTCTGGGTGGTCACAAGAGATAAAACTGAAGTCTACTGAGGGCAGATGCACAGGGATGAATTGTTCCTTGAAATAAAGAAGAATTTCCCGATCAGCAGAACTATTCAGGGCAGAATGGGCCATGACGTGAAGGAGTGAGCTCCCCATCCCTGTGCAAACAGGTTCTGATGGGTCTTTGCAGAGTAACAAGTACAAATATGAGGTTAGGATAAAGCAGGGTTTCCTCACCTCATAACATTGACTTTGGGGACTGAATCATGCTTTCTTGTGGTGGGAGGGGGCACTGCTGATTTGTGCACTCTACGATGTGAAGCAGCATCTCTGGCCTTTACTCACTAGATGGCAATATCTAAGTGTGACAATCCTGTCTGCTTCACACCATCCCTGGGACTTGTTCTAAGGCCCTAGAAGAGGTTGGCCTTCTTTCTGATCTATAAAGTCAGAAGTGAAGCCCCGCCCTTATTGTTGCTCACATCTCCCCTCAAGCATCCTCCCGAGCTGTGACAACCAAACATGTCTCTGGGCATGGCCACATGTCTCCAGGGGTCAGAATCCTCCTGCCTGCATTGAGAGCCGCCAGACAAGACAAATTTCACAAGCTCTTCCGTCCCTCATATGAGAGGCTCTGCTTCTCCATTTTGTTCCCACCCAGACTTACCTGATGCTAAAGAGGCCAGATGATTTGGTCATGTTTCAGAGCCTAATGTCCACCCCAGGATATGCCACAGATGCCTTGTCATCCTTAAACTCAATTTATGAAAATTAAAAAATGTGGCATTTTCAATCTTTCCCAGCCTCTGGCTTCCTGTTCCTCTTAGCTAATCTTATAGTTCATGAAATCCCTTGCTCTGATTATTATTAAGTGCTCAGGAGAGGAAGCAACACATTGAAGCCTGGCCTCACTTCCAACTAGGAAGCCATAAAGAGGAAGAAGACATTTATTCATCAGATTGCGTACTTGGCCTATTACATATATTGTCTCTCTTAATCATCAGACAGACCTATGAGGTATGTATTCTATAATGACATCTATTTTGTAACTGAAACTACTGAGATTTATGAAAGTGTGGGGACTTCTCCAATGTTTTATAGTTGTTGAGTTTTACACACTTTGAATAAACCAATCTCCTGTATAAAGGCTCTCCATTAACTACTGTTTTGTTGAACAGAAGGTCTCATGTACTGTATACACTGTGACTTATCACATGGAGGGCAGGTTGGAGGCTGATTTCTAGGCTGAGCTTGGAGTTAGCAGCAGGGTTCTGTGATGAATTGGAAATGTCTACCATAAAGCTATGAATGAATGTCTTGGAAGGAAGTGGAACAGAGTGATAGGGCGGGGTGGGTTAATGGAGGCGTTAATGACAGAAACCCCAGATGGTTAGGGGAAAATAGGAGCACAATAAAGTCAGGGCTTTACTTCTGAGTTTATAGCTTGGGAAGAAGGCCAGCCTCTTTTAGGGCTTCTGAGTTCAGTATGGTGCTAGAACAAGTCCTGGCAATGGGATGAAGCAGGTAGGATTCCTCAAGTCTCTACACTATCCTGCTAAGGAGAAAGCAGATGTAATGAGAAAAGCAGGTGGCCAGAGGACTGGGGTCCAGATAGAGACAAAAGTGAGGCATCTGTGAAGTTGAACCCAGACTGTGGCACGAACAAGGTAGATACTCCTGCCAGCCCAGGTACCAGGCAAGACATCAGCGGATGCCCCTTCTCAATTCCCATACATGATCAAGTCCCTGACACTTCAGTAGACATCCATCTTTGGTTCAAATCCCCTTGGACTCAGCTGCCCATGTTATGAACAGTCCCATAATGGATTAGACAGATTTCAGAGACAGGACAGTCCTTGAGAAGGGGAAGAAGTTCTGAGAAGAAATCTGAACTTTTTTTTTTTTTTTTTTTTTGAGACACAGTCTTGCTCTGTCACCCAGGCTGGAGTGCAGTGGTACAATCAGGACGCACTGTAACCTTGAACTCCTGGGCTCAAGCAATCTTTCCACCTCAGCCTGCCAAGGTGCTGGGATAGCAGGCATGAGCCACTGCCCCTGGCCAAGTCTGAACTTTGAAGGGATAAAGGGAACAGTTCTGCCAGCATTGGCTCATCAGCTTCCCAATTCCCCATTCTCCAAAGGAAAAGGGGAAACATTTGTTGGAGAGGTTACAGAAACCAGAAGTGAGAATTGACTTTAATTTGCAGATAGTGGTCAGTGTGTGCTGAGATTCTGCTAACAGAGAAAGAAGGAGATTTCCTCCCTTTGCCTAAGCCAAGGGAGGAGGTCTTCAAGGGAGATTGCCCTGTCTCCCCTAGAACAGTGGGAATGCAGTTCCTGGTGCTCAACTCATTCTGCAAAGGCCATCAGGAGAGAAGCTGAGGGTGGCTGGACTGGTCTAAACAAGAACGAGCAGGCTTGGCAGAGGAGGTTCTCCACATATGTGGAATGAGGGTTAAAGTGTCTGTGTCCTTTTCCCATGGGCCAGATGTGTGTGCTTTGGAAAAGTATCCACCCCCAAAGAGCTAACTGCAAGGAATGAGTCACCCAGCTATTGTGAGGCATCACTACATCAGATAACTGCAGGGATGGGGCTGTGTGACTGTCTTCTGGCCAGGGGGTACCTAAGCAGTCTCTTTCTAAGGAATTCACAAGAACATCCTAAGGGCAGTTCAGGGTTTACCATATGACAATCGCACTTACAACTGAACCCCTACCCTTTCCTCCACTGTTCCCCTCCTTACTGTGCCTGACCCTGCAAAGCCTGCAAACTGCAGTGGGAAAGAAAGGGGGGATATGAAGCCCCCTACCATGCCCTGTTCCTACACTGGGAGTTTTCTACCCTAGGGAAGCCTGGATCTGGAGGTGAGGTAGAGAAAGGAGGCAACAGAAAGAAGTTATACAATGGATGAGGTTTAGAGTTCTGGTATTATACTTCACTGGACTTTTCATACCTAAAAAAGGATGACTTACTTATTAGCTGAAATATCCCAGCTTAGTTGGCCTGACAGCTCAGCCCAGGGTAGGAAGAAGAGGTCACAGAACAAGCTAAAAGAAAGCAGTTCCAAGAAAGAAGAAAGTTGCCTCCTGCATTTAATGAGCAGGTTATAGATAAATGGAGTTTCAAGTTTCAGAGTTGAAACATAATAGCAGATATGTCGCACAAAGATGTAGAATCCTGGAAGAATCTCCTTTGACTCAGAAGGGGATTTGCCATTTGTAGCCTCATAGGGTCATTAATCTAAAACCCCCAATTTCTATCACATTGTAAGATGTGTGAAGGTGTCAGACATGAGAAAGTGCCAGTTAGTAAAGCCAATAAGTTATGAGATTTCTGTGTATGCATTTGAGCTGCCTGACTAAAACGTATGTGGTTTGAAATGACCACACAAACTTTCTTAGCCCGCACCCCTGAGTCAGGGACATTGCAGCTTATCAGGAGATGCTGATCTGAGAGACGTTCTGAGGTTCAAGGCTATGAGGCTATCCCAAGAGTGGGGAAGCGGGGAGGAGAGCACTGTGCTACTACAATTCAATAATTTCCATGACACTCACTGCTGTTCACTGTCCGTAAAGTGCAGATCCACCTTGAGTTGAAAATCTACTTCACTCAGTGCGTCTTCCATCTGCAAAAGAAACAAAGTCCAAGGGATTTCAGGAGTCAAATCTTGTCCAAATGAAATACTTAGCTGGTCTACTTCCCAAAGTAGAGAAACACTATCTTGTCCAAAAATCAATGTCATTTATGCTGAAAGCAGAATTTCCATGCATGTTTCATGGAGTTCTGGGTGAACAGGATATCTGAGAGTATTACACAAAAAGAAAAATAGAAGGGATATACATACCCAGTTTGGGAGAAGTCAGTTTGCAAAAAAAATGCTAAACAAGTTTCCTTTTTGCAGGGCTTTTGAGAATCTCATTTGGATTTGATCTAGAATCCCATCTGGGGCAAGAGTAAAGTGTTCTGTAGCACCTGCTCTGGGAAGGATGGAGCAGTGAACTCGCAGTGAAATCCCACTTGGCTAGCAATGGGATTAAGTCAGAGCAATGTCATCTCTAACCCTCAGGCATCCTCTCAGGGCAGGCACCATTGCCCACGTGTCCAGAGGAGGAAGCTCATGTTTGGGAAAGTGGTCACTTCTTCAGGCGTCCCAGCTTCATAAGAAAGCAGCTTCTTCATTTTTGTCTTGAAATCCATTGTATTTAACCATTGTCACTTTAAGACACTGGCATTTTATGTCCTACTCATGGCTGCTTTTGTCCTTTGCTTTAAGAAAAAAAAAACATGCTTTTTAAACACAGGAATCTTTATTCTTCGTGTCAGTTTCTCATATACACCTGGAAGATGGTACCCCTAGTTCTCTTTTTCTCACATCACCCCCAACTCAAGGGGGCATTACTTGCTAAATACCAGATCTCGCCACCACCTCTACTCAGAGGTCAACCCAGCGTCAGTTCTGCACACCTGTGATAGGACTTGGTCTCCTCCTCATTCACAGGCAGGATGAAGCCCTTTTCATCCGTAACCACAAAGCCCATGTCTTGTCTATCTTGGTATTTAACGGTGCCTATTACAATTTTGGAGGCAGTGTTACAACCTGGAAGCCTGTGAGCCAAGTATTGTCTGCTGATGTGTCTTGTTTAGACCCCATAGTATTTTTGAAAATGTTTTGAACAAATTGCAAACATTTACAATTCAGGCAATTTCATATTTGTATTACGGGTTTTCAGCTTCTACAAAAAATAAAAAATAAAAAAAAAAATAAAACAAAACAAAACAAAACAAAACCCTGGACTTGGGAGTGCTGGGCTGGCATTTAGAAACTCATTTGGAAACTGTTCAGATCAGGTAATTGCTGTCCCGTCTACCACCATTCACAGTATTCACTGACACGCATTTGGCCTGCAGCTAAAAGCCCCTGGCTATTTTCTTGTGTAGTGTCCCCAGTAATCCTTATATGATTAAGAGAGAGACTAGTTTTAATTCATTCTTGATCCCTTGCTCCAGAAATAGTGTCTGCTGCATAGAAAGTATCAATGCATCTTTGCGGAATAAATAAAGCTCTTTCCCAATCCCCACCTTTTTTGGTTTTTGTTTCTTTGCAAGAATCTCATCTTCCTGGGATGGAAATCTCTTAACCAAAGATCTCTTTGGAAATGTATTCCTGGTTAAGCATAATTCATGGAGAGATATACAGATGGAATTTATCTTTAGGTCTCCAGGGTTTAAAATTTGTTATTTAAAAAAAGCATTTAAAAGTTAACATTTTGCTGAATCCAAGTGCTATAAATAACTTCCTTTCCTAGCTTTGTTTTGCATAATCATGAATCTAGCCTCAAATACACAAGGAAAGCACTGCAGCCTCTTGTCACCAGGAAGAGAGACTGGCAAAGTAAGCTTCCCAACTACCTTCTGAGCACGCATATGCCTGGGTAATGAAAATTCAAAGTAAACTCCAATTTTAAACTTGCTGCAATTTCCTTAGGAACTGGGAGAGAAATCATTCTCCTGGATAAGCTGTGGCTAAATTGAGCTGGGCTATGACTTTACAATGCTTTAATGAATCTTATTTGCAAGATATTCCAGAATGAAGTCACTGCCTTTTCTAAACATTTATTTCATGGTTGGTTGTTGACTTCCTACCCCTCCCTTCAAAAAGACACACACACCACACACACACACACACACACACACACACACACCATACACACAATGATTTTCCTTTATTCTGCCTTATCTCAATTAGAGTCATCATCTCCTTTCAAGGGTCATTTATCTCACGACCAGGAAGCAGTTTTGCAAACTAGTAGAAATAATATAAGAAGCTAGCATTTACAGAAGAGTTATTATTTGGCAGGTAATAAATTATCATTATACATATACTATTTTATTTAATGTGGATAAAACTATGAGTTAGGAAAGACTGTCCTGCATTTACACATGAGGAAACTGAGGCTCCCTGTGGTAAAGGCATTTTCCCAAACTCAGCTAGTGAGAGTCCCACATCCCAAATGCTGTCAAGGGCTCCATTTCTTTGGCCTTCTCCCATGGTCACATGTGTGTTCTAGATTGGACGTTCTCTCACTGCTTGGTTTCAACTCATAATGGTGACTCTCTTGTTTTCTCCTCCATTCTTAGCTACTAACTTGAGCTTTGTCACAGCGTGATGGCTAAGAGGGCAGCTTCTGAAACCCAGATACACGTGTACGACTCTTAGTTCTATCATTTCATATCTATGAGACCTGGGGCCAATCAACCTCTCTGTTGTTTTCTCATCCATAAAATGGGAGTAAAATAATTACACCTACTTGCAAAGCATTGTTATCGTGTGAACTAAAATTTAAAAACGTACACAAAGGGCTTTGTTCACAACTGAACTGACAATTCTCAACAAAGGTTAGCTATTATTATTGCTGTCATTTTCAACCATGGGGGCTGGCCACAGGAGGGACACATTCCTCTATCAGCCTCACATAGTGCCCATCCTGCACACTGGTCACAAACACAGACTTTGTGATCGGACGGCCCAGGTTCAAACCCTGGCTCTACGACTTCCGGGTGGTATGACTTTAGATAAACGCCTTCTCTAAGTCACTGTATCCTCATCTGTAAAACAGGAGTAGTAAAACACCTCATCACCTTGTTGCAATAATTCAATGAGGTATTCCAGACAAAAAAATCAGCACAGTGCCTGCCATACAGCACATACCTTATAGGTATAAGATGCTGTTTGTTGGAGTTCAATCAGGCTGGTGGGAAAAATATTAAAGATAGCTATAGTAATAGTCAAAAACTCTCTTGGAAGGCCTGAGAGTTTGCGTAGCTTCAGATTGCTTGGCTGAAGGCAGCCAGGGTCTCTTTGCAGGAGCCAGAAAGATTAGGGTGCAAGTACAAAGGAACATGGGAAGTTTATCTTACTAACCTGTTTACTTATATGGGCTTAAGACTAACCTTTGTCCTACTAGGGATACTTTACTGCCTCCTACTCAGGGGTCAGCAGAAGTTTATTACCCACAAACTGTGTTTGCTTTAGGCCTGAGAACCTGGCCTTTAATCTTTACCCTCTAGTGGTGTTTACTCATAACTTTTGTTAATTAGTCTTACTGAATAAATATGAGCCTCACTAACTGACCAGGGCTGAGTCGCAACTGTTTACAGAACTCAGCTTGGAGCCTGTAAGCCGCTGGGCCCCTCAGCTGGACTGGCAGAGCAGAATATCTGTGTCAGTGTATGTTTATTCATCCATCGCCGAATCACGGGCTTGCAGGAACAGACCCCCCACAGCTAGTGCCCCCGCGAAAGGGGCACTGCCTCTGCTGTTAGTGCTAAGATCCTTGTGACTGTTCTTATAACTCATCCTGAACTCCTTTCACTCCCTAGTAGAAGCTTTTCTTCTCCCAACTACCCTGGAGTATCAGTAACTCCAAGCCCATTTCATGGCCAAATCTTAGAGTCAACTTCCATTTATCATTCCTCTCTACATGATGCCTGCCAATGCTCAACCTGAACCCAGTCCTAAGGGCTGCACTTGGTGGCCAGGCAGCTCACCCTTTCCACTCACACAGTTTCCATTTACACAGTTACGACCTCTGCCATGATGCTCACCAAGACACCATGCACTATAGCAGCAACTGCCTGTATGCCCTTGGTCTCCTGGGCCCCACTTTCTATATTATTGCCAGACTGACCTTTCTAAATGCCAGGTCTCCTCCTTCTGTCCTGAAGGAGACTCCTACCTTTAAAAAGGAAAAATATGACCTTTGGCGGAGTCTCTGTGGCTCTCCGTGCTGTGTCCTCAACCTTCCTCTCTAGCTTTGTGTCCCTGCCAGTTTCTAGCCCCTTAGCAACAATGCTTTCTTTCCCAAATCTGCCTTCTACTTTACTGCTTTTTATGGGCCTTGCTGTCTTCTGTCTCAGGAGCTCTTAACAACTGGTTACTGTGGAAATCGTGCCCATTTTTCTACTTATCCAAAAACTCTGAATCAACTCAGCCCCCTTTCTGCTTCCAGCAAAAAAAAAAAAGAAAAAGAAAAAAACAAGCCCACCTCTGTCTGAATCACCAGGTCTGGCCTGGGCTCACGAATCTGCATTTTGTATGAGTACTGCCAGGGGACTGTGATGCCGGTGCACCAAGGAATCACACTTTGGAAAATGCTTTTCCTTTTTAAGCCTACGAAAATGCAATCTTGCTCATAAAATGTGTTTCATATGTAATCTTTTCCTCTTCTTCCTCAGAGTGGCAAGCATTTTGTTGTTAATAATTGTATCTTCTTCTTTGCTTTGCCTGCTAGGAGCTTAGCACTAAATACATGGGTCACCACTATCAAATATCCAGAGGGTGTTTGTGCATTTTGGTCCAATACATTTACCCCAGCCTTTATTTTCCTGTATGTATTTTTCCTCCACTCTGCCCCATTCCATTGCTAACTTTTCTTTTTACTATTCTATGCATTTTGTAAGGCTTCCCAAATCTTCTGTGGGATTACGCAGAGTATATAAATAAAATACACACACTACCTCCAGACTCACTCTTTGCAACTGTTATTATAACATCTCCTCGTACACCTTAACTTGTGATTAGTTCTGTCCATGGTCATCTCTTGTACTTATCTGTGACCTCATTGCACAACTGAATCTTCATGTCTGAATTTCTTATAGCACATGGAATCATGTGTTTGATGAATAGGCATTTCATAAATGTCTGTTGTTCACAATGATGTCTATGTGCATCCGTGAACATAATTTCTGGCCAACTGGCTATCAGCAGTGTTTTGGTTGTCATAAGCAGACTGATACTAACTGGAAATGCATCCATTCCAAATATACAGTGTTTACAGACATATCCAATTAACTTTTATTATCCCTGATTTGTATATAACAATTAGCTGTGCCATTGTTTGCTGCCATATGGATTACCCCCAACACAATAATAATTTATTAGCTTACAGAGAAAAGAAATTTGATAGGAAGAAGAAAACAACATGTAATGTGAAATAGACTCCCCATTCAACTTGAGAACTAAGGCTGGCTACAACCTCACACGACCTAAGGTTGAGGGTTGGGAAGGTCAAACTTGAAGGCTTTAAATTGTCAGGGACAAGAACAATTCTCTGACGGAATTAAGATGGAGCAATGGCCAGGATACCTGAATAATGCCCAAACCCAGCCTCCATCACTGGTTTGTCATTAGCACTCTGCCAGGGTAGCTCTTTGAGATCAATGTCCCAAGGGCAAAGGCCCACGGGAAAAAATGGAGCATTGTTTTCTTATTGGGATTTGGGGAAGTGGACCTTGAGCTTGCAGTCTGTTTAACTGGGAGTTTATTACCACTCTAGGCAACCTAATGGTATTGTTTCCTAAACTAAAGGTATTAACTTGAGTCCAGGAAGGAATTAGAGGATACACTCAACATGAGGACTCCAGGTACAGTTTATCAAAGGGGTGATTTACAAAGTGTGTGGAAGATTTAGAAAAAGCAACTAACGGCTGGGCGCGGTGGCTCACACCTGTAATCCCAGCACTTTGGGAGGCTGAGGCGGGTGGATCGCGAGGTCAGGGGTTCAAGACCAGCCTGGCCAACATAGTGAAACCTTGTCTCTACTAAAAATACAAAAAAAATTAGCCGGGCATGGTGGCGGGCCACTGTAATCCCAGCTACTCAGGAGGCTGAGACAGGAGAATCACTTGAACCCAAGAGGCGGAGGTTGCAGTGAGCTGAGATCATGCCACTGCACTCCAGCCTGAGCGACAGTGGGAGACTCTGTCTCAGAAAAAAAAAAAAAAAAAAGCAACTAACAATGGCTGAGTTCTCAAGGTTAGTAACTACGGGACTTCCTTATCATCCTAGGCCTGAAGAGTCAAGCAGAGACAGCGGTTATCAGAACTGGAGAGAAAGCTACATGGAGTGTGTCTCCGTGACTGGAGCTGGGGCCTTTGGAAGAAGGACACAGCAAATGGTATGCTGGCAAAGGTTTAACAACTGGCTCTCTGAAGAAAAATTAAAATTAAAAAAAAACAAAACACTGTTTTGTAGCATTGGCAGTTTCTCCGGTGTAAATGTTTTCATCAAGCTATGAATGTGAAGTCGCTAAATAAGGAGTTGGAAAGTGGTCCGTACCCGTGGCTATCAAAAGCTGATATAAGCAGGCTCCAGCACACCGCCGGACACAGCCAACCCTCCAGGACCCTGCAGGGAAGGAGCCTGGGGAGTGAACAGTCTGGACCCATTCTCCTCGTAGTCACTTGCAGAAGCTCTCATAGGCTGAACTCAATGGAAACCAAAAGGTAAAGACACGACTGAGCAGTTCTTGCAGCCAGTCTCTTGGGGCACATAGCAGGTGGGACAGCAGAGAGGGGAAACGGCCAAGTAGTCGAAAGCTAGCCAGCATGGCTAATAGGAGTTTCATTTGTTCTTTTAAATTTTGATTTCAGATCAAGTATTTGCAGTCACTGTGATGGCATAAGGGAGACAGGGTCAGGTTAACTGAAGGCTCCAATGAGTGAGGTGTGTGTTTCTTGAGGTATTGAAGCAGGCAACTGTGGTCTGGACATGATATAGAGAGTCAAGGGCCATCAAACAGGGCACATGGTGGATGCTCATCCCTGTTTGGAAAGAATAGCTTGCAAAGAGCCTAAAAAGAAGGGATTACAAGTTAAATTCATTCATTCAACAACTAAGTCATTCACTCCATGTTGGGTATCCACAGTGTAGTCCTATGGCTACTAGGGCACTCAGGATGCAAAGAGAGATACAATCCTGTGGAGCTTGCAGACTGGGAGAGGGACGACAAAATTCTAAAATAAAAATTGTGCCATTGCACCCTTCTAACAAAATCAGTGGATTTCTATTGCCCAAGAATAAGCCCTAAATTCCCTATCATGGCCCACAATGCTGGGCCTCCCTGCTCCATCTTCATCTCCTGCTCCTTTCCCCTCCCTCTCTGTGCAAGTCACCTCAGCCTTAGTGCTTTTCCTGAAACACCCCAATGTCATTCCCACCTCAGGCTCTTTGTCCTTACTGTGCTCTCCTCCAGAGCTGATATCTCCCTGAGCTCATGGCATGCCTGAATCTTCCTCCGCAGTTGGGTCTCAGTTCTGCATTGGCTTCTCTGGGAGGCCTCTTCTGTCTGTCACTTGTCCTCCAGGGAATAATCATCTTGGGTGAAGGTTGTGTTGAAGGTTGTGCTGAGTTCTTGACATTCTCACTATCTGAGTATCTGTCATGAGACAACAGCCAGTCTTGCACAGCAGGACCATCATGAGGTCTCTTCCACTTTGGGTACAGTTGTAGCTTCACGGGGCCTCCAGTGAGGGTGCAAACTCCTATACTCTTATCTCCCTCATGAGTGTGTCTCAGAGACTAGGGAGCTGAGTATGTAGCAGTGAGAAGGCTCAGTAATAGAATATGCATGATCGATTTATTTAATTACATTGTGATATATTGATCTAATATTAGAAAACAAGTCCAAAATGCCAGAGATATGTCATGTTCACTATTTTTACCTCCAGCACATAGTAGGTGCTTAGTGAGTACTCAATAAATTTTTGAAAGAATAGATAGGTTAAGGAATAAAGAATGAGTGACAGCTTTTCAATTTTAGCCACAAAGAGGAATCTGGTCACTACCTAGATAACAAAAGATGTGGACAAAAAGCCAAGAAGCCTGAGAGGAGAAAGATAATAGATGCCCAATAGGAGCTGTTGTGCACACCACATGAGGAATGCAAGTAGGGGATTTCTAATTAGAACTTCCTAAAATAGGAATACTCTTTCATATAATTCTCGATATATTCTAGCAGAAAAAAATCAGCTCGAATATGGCAACAGGTACACTTCAGTGAGGCTGGGGGAGGCAGATCAAAAGTTTGAGCTTCAGATATTCCTTTGAAATTTGTTAATCTGATGAATAGGAAATTTTCAATCAAGTTTCCAACTAATAAAGCGAGCTCCCCAAGGCCTCGGGGCTTGCAATGATGCTGTTTCCCCTTGTTCGATGCCCTTCCTCTTTCTTTCTCTGGTGAATTCAGCATGTGCATCTGAGGCCAGCTCTTTTGTGTAAGCCTTGATGAACCCAGCTTTGTCATCTCCACAGAGATCATTTCTCACATCACCTGCCAAGGTGTTTGCTTATATATCTGTTTTCCTGCAAAATTATCAACCCTTTCAAGGTAGAGTTCCTGCTGCCTTCTCCGGTTCTGTCCCTTACCCAAGGGTCCCACATAGAGCCCTGCAAAAAGTAGTTACTCAAAACCACCTGCTGCTTGACTCATTGACAGAGGGCCTGAACAGATGTGCAACTGGGCAAATGAGGAGGGAAGAAGAGACCCAGTAAATGAGTCAATGGAGACTGTTTGCACTTGAGACTACATGGAACAAGCAAATATATGAATAAAAAAATGAGTAAAACAACGAATACATAAATAAGTGCATGAGTGCACTAAAAGCACTAATCTCTGTCAGATTTCAAAGTAAACCCATACCTTCTTCTTTCAACATTTACCTAGCAATGAGAGAGAACAGCCATGATAGGGAACAGCTACTTGTGGCTGGTGGTAGATTCATGACTTACCCTTTCACCACCCAAGAGTAAATGAACTCGGAAGACCACAGCATCATTTATGGGTACCTCTTCATTCCGGTATAAGATCTGAAAGACCCGGCTGTGCACGGTGCTGTCATGGACACAGGCTGAATGCAGGCTGCTGCTCTCTGCAAAACAAGAATCAGTAGGAACCCATGAACTCCAATACTGTCCTGTACCTGCAGCCCTGTCAGGTGTCTTTCCTGCTCAAGTAGGCTAATGGCCCCAAGCTGCCTTCCAATTTCCAAAGCTTAAAATCACAGTAAATGAGACCTCACCATATGAATGTTTCTGTTTATTGAGTCAGGCTGGTATCTCAGAAAAACCTTGTTCCATCCCTTACAAGCGATAAAATCTTGGCTAAGTCACTCATGCCGTGGGCAATGCTCCTGGGCTGCTATGCAGTGCCTGCTCAACTTCTCACCTGTTCACCTGTCCCCTTCTCTGTGAAGCATTCCATAAACCTCCTCTCCCAGAAACAATGAGGAGAAGAACGGGGAGTAAAAGACAGAAAACACCCTTCCTTCTACAAGGACTTCCTAGTGCCCATAGAGTCTCTCCCTTCTCAAAGGTGCTGCTTGCACATCATGCATGTCATGAGAACACTCTGTCTTGCGTTTTAGGAAAATGTGCTAATCCTATTATGCTGTATATCAAGTTTTAAAGGAATTGGTTTAGCTCTGTATCCTCCAGTGCATTCTAGATATACTATATCCCTAAACGGTACTTCAAAGTTAAGTTATATTTCAACAAGACAAATCTATGCAATGCTTCCACTGTCCAGGGTTATTTGGGGGAACAAATGGGTGAACTCCTCCAAATTACTTAACACATAAACTATACAGTTGGAGATACGTGTAAAAAATATATGTGTGTGTATATATATGTATATGTATATATATGTATATATGTGTATATATATACGTATATATACATATATATATATTATTCTAAAATAAATAGCACTGCCCAGGGTTATTGTGGGGGAACAAATGGACGAACTCCTCCAAATTACTTCACACATGAACTATACAGTTGGATATACATGTAAATACATATATATACACACACACACACATACACACACATACACACACGCACATACATATGCGTATATATACATACTAAAGTAAATAATACTAATATTTGTATAAGGCAATGATTACCTATTGATTACCTATTTATAATAGGGAACAACTATATGGCATTTTACAAGTTCTAAAGTGCTTTTCAATTGTGGTTACTTTCCTTAATTATCATAACAAACCCATAAGGTAAATTTTACACCAGATGAAGAGACAAAGGCTCAAAGCAGAGGCAGGTGCCTAAATATGCACTTGTTATGAATGTTTATGTCTCCCCAAGATGCATATCTTTCACCAATGTGATTATATTTGGAGGAGGAGCCTTCAGGAGGTAATTACATCCTAAGGGTAGAGTTCTCATATATGGGATTAATGCCCTTATAAAAAGAGGCCAGAGGTCTGTTCCCCTCACCTTTCCCACCATGCAAGGATACAATGAGAGAAGTCATCACTCTGCAAACCTGGAAAAGGACCCTCACCAGAACCTGACCATGCTGGCATCCTGATCTCAAACTTCCAATCTCTAGAACTGTGAAAAATACATTTCTGTGGTCAATAAGGCACCCAGTTTATGGCATTTTGTTAGCAGACTGAGATGGAGCATTGCTATATAATGAAGCATTGTGTAGATTCATCCTCACATCTACCTCTTTAGTAAGAGAGAAAATGAAGTCTCCAGTGAAAGAATAAAATGCATCTATTTCCTAGCAAAGGGTGGGGACTCTATAAAACAGTACTGAAAGAATTAGTTTGACTGAAATGGGAGCCAAGAAAAAAAAAAAAAAAACAGCCCAACTAGCAAAGAAAAATCCTAAGTACCTTGTACACTGTCTCTGGATGAGTCAAAGAGTTCTTTGAAACAGGGACACAGGATCACAGTCACCTCCCAATGCAGTCACATCTAAACAAACACCTACCTTGTAGCTTCTGAGCAAGGAATACAAAATATGTAAAATGCCAGGTTGTTTCCAAGGCTACTCAGATGTGCCTGCTCTAATTTGCACTTTGTCATGAAGGCAATAAAATTACTGGCCTAATGCAGTTCTATTTAGACCTGCTGTATTCAAATTGATGCGGCTATTAAATAAAAATGATTCATGTGTGCAGATGCCTCTCTGTTTTTACTTGCTACACTAGCTCTTTCTCTATCACTGTCTAGGCCCCACTGATCTATAAGCCAGAATGACAATGTGGCAGCGGGTGGATGGGGTGAATACCCTGAAGGTCAGAGCAGCCCTGAGCCGTCTGCCACCAGGAGGGTCAGCCAGCAAAACAGTTCAATCACTTGCTGTCTTGGGCAAGTGACATCACCTCTTGTAACAGCAGCTTTCCATGTGAGAAATGGACACAGCCACACTGACCTTGTGGGATCACTGTGGACACAAAGAGGATAAAATAGATCAAGCTCCTAAGACCAGGCACGCTCTGGGCATACAATATACAGTATGATGATTTTTTAATTGTGTTTGCAGAGAAACTTCTGAGTACTTTCTGTTGAATATATTATCATTGGCCACATTTTTATGGGAGATTAAGCGCCTCTGAATTTGAGCAGATTGGCAAACAGACCACAGGGCTTAATGGGTATTTACTGAAAGTCACCAAATCCCGAGGTGACCCATTAAGCCTGGGATAAGGCATTTTTCATACCTTAGGAGGCTTTCTGGGTCAACTCCTCACCACTGTTAAATAGGGCATCGCATAGAACAGGTGTCTTTTTTTACAAGGGAAGGCTCACCAATCGCAAGACACTTCCCTGGGATTGTGGAGATCACTGGGACAACACTCCCTGCTTCATTCCCATTGGGATTTTCCCTTCTTCAACAACAATCCACATCTGGATACCCGACCCACTATCCTCACTCCTCCTTGCTGGTGAAATCAGCACCCAGAGACAGCAAAAGTACATACTCTCTCTGCCCTTAAAGACTAACTCATACTTTGGGATGGCAGTCTTTCCTAGCTATGTGGTAAATAGCCACTTTTCATTTTAGAGTATTTTTATGTATTTTTAGGCAACAAGATTTCTACTCAAGGGGTCCAATGAGAAGGTGTAGACTAGAGTCTTCCTACATATCTGTCTTCTTCTTTTGTGGGTGTCAGCCTTGGTACCACGCATAACAAGAGTTGAAACTTTAAGGGGAAAAAAGAGATGAAAAGAAAATGGGTGGAAGAAGGAAAGGGAATGTGAAAGAAAAAGAGGAGGGGAGCAGAGAAAAGAGAATACAGCAGAGGAGGTAAGAGGAACTCTTCAGGTTTCAGCTGCACAAAGAATACGTTCCAAACAACTTAACACAGAATTTCAGGCCAGATGGCAAGAGAAAAAAAGACTTTTAGGTGCTGTAGTTTCTTCTTCTCCCCCCACAAAATGAATGATATTGATACTTTATAGATCTATGCACCTTTAAATGTTTAAACCTTAAATGATGACATTCCCTCAGCTGGAGTTCCCAGCAGCCCCAGAGGGATCTGTGAGTGTGGAATACAAAATACAGGTATTATTCTTCTGACAGGGACTCTATGCCCAATGCTCAAACCAACAGCACCCTTAGGGACCATCTACTTGTGGACTAAACCTCAATCTCATTCCAAGAACATAGCCATGGCTCTGCCTGCATGTAGGAGATTCCCAAAGAATCAGTTCTGTGCCCAAACACCAGAAGACAACCCTTTCAATTCCCCAGGCCTGAAGCCAGCTGGCTGAGGTCTGGACTGTGTGAATTCCTTTAAACTCAGGATATACTCAGAGAATCTTCCAACATATTAGAGCCAACAGAAGTGGAAAAGCCCCATTAGACTATGGGTTCCTCAAAGTCACAATGTTGGTTTTCATATGGTTTAGAAAATGCTCCTGTAGTAAGGGAAATATAAGTTCTAGACTTGTCCCCACTTTCCAGCTGTGTGGCCTTAGGCAGGACTACAGAATCCGAGCTCCAATGAGACAAGAATCATGCCTTACTTAATTTCCATAATGAATGTGAGGCTTAGGCAAAATGGTGAGTGAAGAAGTATGTTTTTTACTGAAAAATTATCAAAATCCAAACAGATTTCTTCATAGATTGAAGATGACAACGATTAAGACTCTTCAGGTAGGGTGAATTTTCGGACCCTTTCTAGGAACGGGAAGGACAGAAAGTCACCCTGAAGCCAAACTTTATTTTTTTTCCAAAGATTGTAAGCAATAGGCAGAAGAGAAAGCCACTTTGAAAAAGGTATTCATTGTTTTTCCAGAGAAGGACCAGAATAATTTCCTGTAGTTGAGCATGTGCTGCCTAGCTCACAGGGTCATCGAGCCTTCAATGCCAGGGTAGGGAGGTCCAATACATGACTTCTTGAGACTCCCCCAAGGTTGCTACTTTCCTGGAGAGCCCATCACTGGAGGGCAAGTGGAAAAATATGGATAAGAAACCAGGAACTCCTGGGAGATAGGCAACCATGGTCTTGATGACTTTTCTTAAGGTTGAAAATCAGGGATACTGTTGGACTGGGACAGACCCTTCCCAACCAAGGTGATACTAGTGTCAATCACACAGCACAACCTGTTCCCAGAAATGAAGCTATCTTGAGAAAAGCTGGGGCCCAGAATGACAACTCTGGATGTTCAGAAATGCTCAGGGCTTCATGGGTAGAAGGTTGGTTTGGCTACATTGTGAGCTGGAAAGATGAGGACCCACCTAACCTGAAACAAAGATTGTGCTGTCAAGAGCAATATCTTGGTTCACTGTGTGCTGCAATAACACAATAGCACAGACTAAGTAATTCATAATGCACAAAATTTGATTGGCTCACAGTTCTGGAGGCTGGGAAGTCCAATATCAGGGTGCTTGCATCTGGCAAAGGCCTTATTTCTGCATCATCCCATTGCAAAAGGCAGAAAGGCCAAGAGACAAAAGTGAGCTGAACTTGCCCTTTTACAAAGGCAGGAATCACACCCAGTAGGGTAAAGCCCTCATGGCCCAAACACCTCTTACAGTTCTCACCTCAAAACTGTTACAATGGCAATTAAAGCTTCCACACACATTTTGGAGGGGACAAACGTTTAAATCATAGCAGTTTCTAATGAGTTATAACCTGGGAGCTCAGGGTGGAGGCCCTAGTGGCCTGTGCAGATAACTGGAGCAGCAAAGGGTTCACTTTTGAACACCCTCAAGCTTCCTCTAAATTCTAAAGACCTATGCTTCAATAGAGACCCTGTGTGCCAATGAGATGCCCCAGCAGCAAGGGACTGATGAGATTCATTTCTATCCTAAACTAGCATTCAGAAAATGACCACACTTCATTGTGTCAGCCCAGGGCTTCTTGGATGATGTGACATGGGAAAAGTAAGTGGCATTTCTGCTAACAGGGCATTGAGATCTACAAGCACTTACTTGAAATATCTGAAGAGATGCAATTCTGCTTGTACCTTCAATTTTTGAAGCATATCAAATTGGTGACACATCAATAAAGAGTTGTATTTTGGTTGTCATTTTTATTTCTATCTCAAAGAATATAAAACATTTTTCTTGTTTTCTACTTAAAGTACCCTGCTGCACATGGAGTATTGGATATTTTGTTTTCATGCACATGGACATAAGTTTATGCCTCACCTATAATTTTAGATTATTATGTTTGTATGTTTTTGCTATAAAATGTGTTTATTCATTCATTGAATATTTACTAATCACCTGCTATGCACTAGGTCTTGGGCAAAACATTGGGATTCAGCATTGAACACTCACAGGGTTCCTTTTGGGACATCTATGTTTTACACCTGTGTCTGTGGAATAGCGAATGAATATTCCCATCATTGTCCGACTCCACAGACATCTCCTTGTGTAAATGAATGTTTCATCTTTCCACACACGTTGCATTAGTCAGAATGCCTTATATAGGCTAATTTAAAATTCTGATTGAGGCGGCAAATTATGTAAAACAAACTGAGTTTGATCATAGATGTTATTTATTAATTATATGATTGGAAAAGTCACTTTTCTATAATATATAATACATACAAAATGGTTTTGTTAATTGCAAATTGCTCAATTAAAGCTAGCCTGAGATTTACTGGTCTAAATTCTAGATACTTTATGTTCCTTACATCGTTGAGTATGGTCTTGGGTATATGAGTTTTCATTTTATTCATGAGGAAACTAATGATCATAGAAATTGTTACATCCTCAATGTCAAATATAGTTGATGGTACAATGATGACTCCAAATGTTTTTTTTTTTTAATTTTACTCCTTAATTTGTTTATTCATTCATTCATTATTTAACTCAACAACCACACAGGCAATATGTTAGACATAATTCTGTCACTGGTAAAGATAAAACAATGATGAGGAATCTTATTCAACATTTAGTACAGTATTTCCCAACTTTTTCTCTCCTCACTTCAAATGCACTATCCATCAATTTCTGTTTAATAAAAAAAATCTGAGAATGACAGAACAAAAGGCTTTGCATATCAGTAACACTCAAATATTTAGCGAATCAATCCACCAATCAATTTATTAATAAATACAAAAATGGAGGGATATGACTTTTGGAAGTTACCCAATGTTTGTTATAGTTCTAGTTTGTGATAGTTCTAATATCCAGAATTTCTGACTCCTAGCCTACTCTACAAGAAAACTCAACTTACAAAGCAGATACCATGCTCTGGCAGAAAGTCCTATTTGTAAGAGGGCAACTAAACTAAAGAGCCCACTAAAAAGCACCATTTAACCTACTGAAAATGAGAAAGGCTGTTGCTGCTATTTAACAGGAAGCATTCTCTCATCAACACTGAGTGGGCTTAATTACTTAATTATAAACCATTGTGACCTACTATTAGAATAAGCCCAGTAAGGCCAGCACTTGATAACACTTTATTATCTAATAACATGTATTGCTCTATAATCTCAAAAGTAAAAGGCCAGTGTGTTGCCTCTAGTACACTTTAGTTGCTCAACACAGAAACCCACTGGATTTCCTTCGATTGGTCATAACTGCTGAGTGGTCTCAGGTATTTCAGTTTGGATTTCAATAACAGAGTCCAGTGTATGGCGTTGTACCTCATGCTTGTGTAGGCACATAGATTTGAGTTAAAAGACATGGGTTTACTCTCAGCTCTGCCATTTATACACTGTATACCTGTGAACAAAGAACTTACCCAGTGTAAGCCTCAGTTTCCTCATCTGTGAACTGGGGATGGAAGAGCAATACTGTTTCAGGGTTTTGAGGGTTTTACGAGATGACCTATGAAAGTACCTGGTACAAGATGTAACATATAATAGGGGCTCAGACAAATGGAGTGAATAAACATGCTGCTGGATTAATAGGAGTGTGGAGCTGACATGGCTATTACAAATTATCCAGCATAGAATTTTACCAGATATTAGTAGAAGTCTCAGTGGAAGTGAGGAGTGGAAAATAATCTTTTTTTGTTTTGTTTTGTTTTTGAGATGGAGTCTCACTCTGTAGCCCAGGCTGGAGTGCAGTGGCGTGATCTTGGCTCACTGCAACCTCCACCTCCAGGGTTCAAGTGATTCTCCTGCCTCAGCCTCCTGAGTAGCTGGGATTACAGGTGCATGCCACCATGCCCGGCTAATTTTTGTATTTTTAGTAGAGACGGTGTTTCACCATGTTAGTCAGGCTGATCTCAGACTCCTGACCTCGTGATCCGCCCACCTTGGCTTCCCAGAGTGTTGGGATTACAGGTGTGAGCCACCGCCTCCAGCCAAAGGGAATCTTTAATTACCCTTTGACACTATGAAGAAAGCAGGCTTGGCCCAGGGCAGTGGGCACTGCCTGAATGGAGCATGGAGCATCTCCCTGCTTACTAGCTGGGAGATGCTGGGTGAGATTTCAACTCCACTGGCCTTAGTTCTTTTACAGGCAAAAATGACAACAACAATCCGACTACACTGGGGAGCCAGATGATGCCTCATGCCCACCTCGCCTGTTCTTCCAGCTCTTGCAGCTCTTCAGTTTCTCTCTCACTCACTCCTGCCCCTTCTGGATTCCTAGGCTCCTCCTGCACTTCCCACCTCTCTGTGTTGTAGAACCCTAGGTCATGGTCCCAATTATTTTCTCCGTTACTAGCTGTGCTCCTTCCCTAGCATCATTTCCAAGGCTTTCAAGGCTCTCTACGCCACCTACAAGCTGAGCACTCTCAAATGTATAATGCCAGCCCTATCTCTCTCCTGAGTGGGCCTGATCCTTCACCGCTTGATGTGATTTCTTTGATGTCAAATAAAGATCAGAACCCTCTGTTTCCAGTACAGAACCTTTGATTATATTTCCCAAATATGTTCCTCCTCCTGTCTTACCCATACTAGTGAAATACTTCCTTGTCATTAAATTCCTCTTTTCCACTCACTTCCTCTATCCAATCATCGGCACATTATCGGGGAACCTGCCCCGATATTCACGTAGGTTCTTTTCTATTTTCCTTAAGCATCGGCCAGCTTGAGAAATAAAGGGACAGAGTACAAAAGAGAGAAATTTTAAAGCTGGGCATCTGGGGGAGACATCACATGTCAGTAGGTTCCGTGATGCCCCACAAGTGGCAAAAACCAGCAAGTTTTTATTAGGGAGTTTCAAAAGGGGAGGGAATGTGTGAATAGGTGTGGGTCACAGACATCAAGTACTTTACAAGGTAATAGAATATCACAAGGCAAGTGGAGGCAGGGCGAGATCACAGGACCACAGGACGGAGGCAAAATTAAAATTGCTAATGAAGTTTCAGGCACCATTGTCATTGATGACATCTTATCAGGAGACAGGGTTTTGAGACCAACCGGTCTCACCAAAATTTATTAGGCGGGAATTTCCTCTTCCTAATAAGCCTGGGAGCGCTATGGGAGACTGGAGTCTATTTCACCTCTGCAGTCTCAACCATAAGAGACGACCACGCCCAGGGGAGCCAGTTCAGAGACCTACCCCCAGCTGCACATTCTCTTTCTCAGGGATGTTCCATGCTGAGAAAAAGAATTCAGCAATATTTCTCCCATTTGCTTTTGAAAGAAGAGAAATGTGGATCTGTTCCACCCGGCTCACCGGCGGTCAGAGTTTAAGGTTATCTCTCTTATTCCCTGAACAATTGCTATTATCCTGTTCTTTTTTTTTTTAAGGTGCCCACATTTCATATTGCTCAAACACACGATGTACAATTTGTGCAGTTAATGCAATTATTACAGGGTCCTGAGGCGATATACATCCTCCTCAGCTGACAGGATTGAGAGATTAAAGTAAAGACAGGCATAGGAAATCACAAGGGTATTGATTGGGGAAGTGATAAGTGTCCATGAAATCTTTACAATTTGTGTTTAGAGAATGCAGTAAAGACAGGCATAAGAAATTATAAAAGTATTAATTTGGAGAACTAATAAATGTCCATGAAATCTACACAATCCACATTCTTCTGCCATGGCTTCAGCCGGTCCCTCTGTTTGGGGTCCCTGACTTCCCGCAACAGCACATCCTGTGGATTCACACCCAAAACATGGTTCTGACAAATCGAATCCTTCCTATCTCTTTCAAAAAATGTTCTCTCAATATTGCATACTGAAAACCTTACTTTTTGCTTCTGCTCTTACCACCTATTTGTCTACTAATATAAAATATAAACTAGATGTTGGCCAGGCACGATGACTCATTCTTACAATCCCAGAACTTCAGGAGGCCAAGGTGGGAGGATCACTTGAGGCCAGGAGTTCAAGACCAGCCTGGGTAACACAGTGAGACCCTATCGCTATAATTTTTTTTGTGAATATATAAAATTAGCTGGGCACCGTGGTGTGTGCCTATAATCCTAACTACTCAGAAAGCTGAGGTTGGAAGATCTCTTGAGCCCAGGAATTCGAGGCTGCAGTGAGCCATGATCTTGCCACCACACTCTGGCCTAGGTGACAGAACGAGAGTTTGTCTCTAAAAAAAAAAGTAAATAAAATGAATAAATATAAACCAGACGCCATTATCCCCTCCTGGCGCTTAGAATGAAATCTAAAGTCTTTACTATGGTTAATTGGCCCTAAATGATGAGTGTGGGAGCTGCAGCCATAGTGAGGACTGAACACAGAGCTGACGCTTTGTGCTGTATCCCGGCCCGGCAAATATTTATAGAATGCATGACTGACCAAAGCTCCAAGTGGCCTGATCACAGAGAACTTGGCAGTGGGTGTAGTAACATTTGTGGAGGTGAGCTGAATCTTGGACAGAGCAGTTAGCTCACTGAGGCTGTCTCTATTTCCCGCTATGTCCTCATGATGACCCAGAGTCCACATCGATCCAGGTTCCCTTGCAAAAGGCCAGCACAAAGGATGCCCAGAATGCACAACATGGGGCTTTCTGAGAAGGGTACAGCCAAGGCCCCACCTTCAAATCCTGAAACCCGTCCTGCTAATAAGTCATCAGGAGACTCAGCAAATTGGAGGCAAAGAGCCTTGTTGATGTGATTCAGGCTTTCCTGAACCATCTGCCTCCCCATATGCTTCCCTAGGAGAACTAAGTATAGTCGCAATTGCAGCTAATCAAATATTTGTCAGAGCTGCAGTGTCCCCACCCAGTCACGGTCTCCAGGATGTGCCAAGGAGCACAGAGCTGTTTGCTAGTCCACCGTGGCCTTGGCCTTAGTTGGAGGTCACAGAATATAGGGCGGAGTTGCGACTACAAAAAATAGCAGGGAGCCCCAGAGTCACTGCTGATTAGGGGAGAACAGGTGGTTGCTCTGCCTTTGTTTTCCACAGAGATGGCAGATCCCTCCAGCAGGGCCTGCCCACTCCAGAGGCTAAGATAAGCCCAGCCAGTCCAGAAACAGATCATAGCCTCAGTCCCTCCAACTCCCTCCAAGTTCTGAGGCACCCTCCAACCCAAGCGCTGAATGAGCTGTCTCCACCACAGCACATTCTCATCTGTACTGTCTCCCCTTTCCTCTCTTGGTCCCCTCCCTTCTGTCCATTAGGGCACACACCCACACACCAGGGTTGCACTTGCAGTCTGGAGCAGGGCAGGATATTCAAAATTGGGGAGCACAGAGAGTACCTAGTCCGAATGCCTGCCAGGCAGGGCGGTGAGCAGGGCCTGCAGGTCACCGGCTGCCCTGGTGTAAATCCTCTAGCTATGAATGATAGAGAAGGTGAGGGTCTGGAATGGGGGCCAAGGTAACTGGCCACTGTAGTCTGGGAGGGAGGACTTGGAAAGCTCAGAGCAGTGCTTGTTATAACAACTGCTCCTATCAGATGCACTGGCTGAATATTGCCCCTGGTTAAAATGAGCAAGGTATCCCCATGCCATGCACAGGTCAGTCCTGCCAAGACCTGTGTCTGCAGCTCGAGTTTTGTCTTCTTAGCTTCACAGCTTTTCACCTCATTTATTCTCCTTCTAGACTCCAGTGGCAGCTCAGAGTGACCTGAGCTCCTGTCCTCCAGGACAGCAGAGGCTCTTGCAGCTGACATTTTTCCTTCCCTTATTCAGCTCCTCTCTCTGCTGCTAATACATTGTGCCAAATACTGCAGATACACAGTCTGTCTGTGCATGGACACGGGAATTCCTTCAGGGAGAGGTTCCCTCTCTCCAGCTCAAACCTCCTTAGTCCTTGATACCCATGCACTCTTCCAGTTGCCTGCATACCTCAGAGTCCCAGGCCAATGGGTGACCTGGTTTCTGATGGGTCACCTTGACTCAGACTTGGCCCTGGCTGGGTCAAGTAATTAACTTTCAACTCTACACAGCAAATGCAGAACAGAAGGGTTTTAACCGCACATTTCAACCAAGTTCTGGAATGTTTCTTTATCTGAACTTCTGCATGTAAGCCCCTTAGCTCGAGTCAACAATTGGACCAGTCTCAGGCATAGCCAGTGTATGGTAACCACACACTTATTGGTGCTGACACTTCAGGGAGTAGGGCCTTGAGAAATGATGCAAGATCCCACACATTTCAAACTGTCACGCTTTCAGCAAGCTTTCTCTGCCTGTCCCAGAGTAGTGTGAATATTCTCACCTCTGGATCATATGCATTTACTGCTCAACAACACTCGGCAGGCAGAAGATGCTGTCCATCTCTTCCATGCATCCCTCCAATACACACACTCCATTCATCAGAAATACTGAGAATTCCAGGGACCTTGCAGGATAAGTAGACACAAGATGCTCCTTGCTTTTGAAGAATCCCCAATATTATTCTCCTCTCTTGAATAAATGTTATGATTTCCTCATTAGTGTCACCTGTTGAATCTTGCCCTTTGACCCCACAGCAGGTATATGCCCCTTGTGCTCAGCCCCCAGCAACGTATAGAGGGCTGGCTGATGGTGCCCCTGGTGCCTAAACAAACTTTCATGCTTGCCTCTGCACCAAGACGTTGATGTGACAATAAATGAGCATAGGAGAACAGGTCATCTGGTAGTTGAATCTAAGCTGCAAAAATTGCTGCCGAGGATGTAGATCTAGGTGTTCATTGACACGAGAGCTAACTGGCTAAGCCTTGGCCTGACACCCAGCCAGGTGATACTGCAACTTTCAGAAGGCTCTTTTGACCCCTTGTGTCTGAGAAAATTCTACATCCACTACCTGAAAGTCACAGTGTCATCTGCATGGGTGTCAGCCAAGGCTTAGCCAGTTAGCTCTCGTGTCAATGAACACCTATGCCTACATCCTCAAAAGCAATATGTGTTTGCTCAATTAAACAGATGGGGCAGGATGACTTGAGGGATGTGACAGTGCTGCTTTAGACCACTGTGGTACTGGGGGAGAACTGAAAGGTTCATAATTTTTCCTATTATAAGAACATGATTTTTTTTTTTTTTTTTTTTTTTTTTTTGAGGCAGAGTCTTGCTCTGTCGCCCAGGCTGGAGTGCAGTGGCACCATCTTGGCTCACTGCAACTTCCACCTCCCAGTTCAAGCGATTTTCCTACCTCAGCCTCCCAAGTAGCTGGGACTATAGGTGCCCACCACCACACCCAGCTAAATTTTTGTATTTTTAGTAGAGAGGGGGTTTCGCCACGTTGGCCAGTCTGGAGAACATGATTTTTTCTTAAAAAACTTCATTTTCTGTAAAATGGAGCTATAATATCTAATCACAGGGTTGTTGTGAGTATCAAATGAGATGATACAAATCAATGCCTGTGACTCACTATACACGAGCAATATTGTTCAGTGTTTTAATTACTTCCTTGACTTTTGGGGAGAAGGAGGGTTGGTCCTGGCTCATAGTGATTTCCACCATGCCAAATCTAAGCTTCTTGCTGATTAGACCTGGTTAATTATTGATAATTCTCAGAAGTCCTATCACACTGCTTGCCCAAATGACCAATCCGTAAATCTTTTTTGAATGTTCTGTTCCTCTGACATTCTTTTTTCCACTTTCTTCTTCTCATCCATAAAGACTGTGTATTTTTCCTTTCCTCAGAAGTTCTTCCCTCAGTGCCACAGGCAGAGTAATTGCTCCCTCGTCTGTTTCCACAGCATTTTGCACCAGCTCTTGTAGAATACTTGTTCCTCCGAGCAGCAGTTCTGTGTGTCTTTCTGTAACCAGACTGTGGGCTTCTCCAAGACGGAAAAGTACACAACTCACCAGTGAGCTCTAGGATTCTAGTAAGGTGCTTGACATAAGAGGCACATAATTAGTCTTTTTTATTGAATTGATAGCATCATCCTCACCTCAAAAGTCTGCCTGTTTCTCAGTGACCTCTTAAATGCTACCTCTTCTATGAAGATCTTCCCAACTGGAAGGCAGAATTTAGCACTTATAAGCTGCACAGGCTCTGACTCAGACTGATCTTTATTTAAGTTCAGGCTTTCCATGCACTTGCAAATCATTTATCCTTTCTGAGAATAATTATCTTCACATATAAAGTAATCATGAAAGATTAGATAAGACAAAGATGCCCATCGTTATTATTAAAAACACATATCTTCCGCCTGTTTATTCATCTAGCTTTACACCTTTCCTGTGTCTCACAGAGTCCACCTCCTATTTTACCCATCTTAGAGTCACCTTATTGCCACCCACCTACTCCCTCTCACCCTCTATTGTTCTGTAAGCTACTTAAGGGCATAGACATTAAGCAATCACTTGAGTCTCTTCCCTGTGACCTAGATCAGTACTTTAAATAAAATAGATGCTCAAAAAGTTGCCAAATGAGCACTTGAGTGTTAGTCTGGGGAACTTGCTTATCCCCAAAAGAAGGCTGAGTACTCACTCCTATATCTGAAAACTCATGCAACCAATATGGGGACTGGGAGCTAAAAGAAAGTCATGTAGTTTTATAAACGCATTTCACAAATAGGAACTGGGGCCTCAGAGAGATGGAGAATCCAACCAAGGACCAGCAGTGGAATCCCGAATCTACCCGCTGCACCCACGGCCCTCTCTGCTACCCCCAACTGCCCTGATGCTTACTAGGGTACCAAAAAACTATTTCCAAGGGGCTCTCTTGACTCCTTGTGTCTGAGAAAATTCTACATCCACTATCTGAAAGTTGTAGTGTCACCTGATTGAGTGTCAGCCAAGGCTTAGCCCGTTGGCTCTAGTATCAGTGAACACCTAGGCCTGCATCCTCAGAAGCACTTTTTGCAGCTTTAGATTCAACTACCAGATGGCCTGTTCTCCTGGGCTCATTTACCTTCCAGTCAACATTATGGTGCAGAGGCAACCACCAAGTTTGCTGTTTAGGCTCCAGGGCCACAATCGGCTGGCCCTTTATATGCTGCTGGGGGCTGAGCACAAGGAGCACTTATCCCCGTGACCAAGCATTCATTCCTCCACCTTCCTCATCATCTCTTGCTATTATGCGGCTGTTTATTTGCATGTCTGTATGAGTTCCTTAGAGTTCAGTAGTGCTGTGGTTCATCCCAGCAGCCACAGAACTTGGCACAGTGCTTGGAAAAAGCAAACTTTTTAATGACTGTGTTACCCAAAAAAGAATGGGGTTCATTTGCCTGGCAAGTAACAGACAAATCTCCACAAGAGCACAGGTTTGGATCGATAGGAGTTACATCACTTGTCACAAGGGAGGAGAGCACTAGGAGTATTTTCCAAGCAGTGTCTCCCCAAGGGAAAGTGACAGGAGGGTTTTTTGGGGTGGTGGAAAGGGGAGAGGGTGCATCATCGCATGCAGAGGAGGGGGCTCAGAGGTGCAGACACAGTGAGTCATCATGCCAGCACAGAAGCACAGAGGTTGCATGTTATGATAATGAGGCTACAGCTCCTCCGGGGGTGGAGGCTTTAGCATGGTAACCAAGAAAGTTCACTCAAGTTCATCTACAAGTTGCCAGGGCTGTCGGGAGCTGCTTCCACCCAATTAGGTGATTACATTCCACACAGGATTTTAGGTGGAAAAAAAACAGGCTGAAGGCTGTAAAATAGGCAGATTGCTCAAGTTGATTAAACTACTATAGTCCCTGGAGATCCTCCATGTCTGCTTGCAACTAGAGTGTTTCAACTATTTTTCCTATTTTATTTTACATATCCAACATTTCCTCCTAAACCAGATTCGTCCCAATAATGTTGAAATATATTCACCATTCTCTCATTAGAAATAAAATATACACAGAAGTCAAATCTCGCAGCTCTTCCTAGATACCTTGGTTGGGTGGCAACCAACTTACCTAAAGGATGTCTCTACTGGCTGTTTTCATTTCTCCATTGCTCTACTCACTCTTCATTATCCCAGATCTGATTTCCGTCCCCTTAGCATCAGTTTAAAAAAAAAAAATCCTATTGAGGTAAATAGTGTCCTACATGTTTCTAAAAGCTCGAGGAAATTTTTAGTCCACATTATACTTGGATTCTTTGCAGTATTCTCCAATGTTGTTCCACTCCTCCCCCTTGAAATACCCTCCCTTGGCCGCCGTGAAATGAAGCTTCACTATTTTTCCTCTTGACCCTCTGATAGCTTTTCTCTCTCTCCTTATAAGGGTCACCTCCCTGTAAATTGGCATGCCTTTCCCCACTCCAATGTCACTTTCTATCCCCATTAGGGTGGTTTATTTTATCTCATGGCACATATTACTGTTTGTGTTATACTGATTATCTTCCTTTTTAAAAAATTTTTAAATTATTTTAGAGACAGGGTCTCACTCTGTTGCTCAGGCTGGAGTGCAGTGGCACATTAATGGCTCACTGCAGGCTCAACCTCCTGGGCTCAAAGGATCCTCCTGCCTCAGCCTCCTGAGTAGCTGGAACTACAGGCATGCACCATTGTGCCCAGCTGATTATCTTCTTTTCCAACCGTAATGTAAGCAACATGAGAGCAGAAAATCTGCCTATTTTGTGCATTTTCCAAGTCCTACACATAAAATGACATCTAGGACATAGCCGCTTAATGAAAATTATGTCTCTAAAACAGATTTTTCCTCTAAGCTCAAGATCTATAAGTTAAATTGGCTACTTCAAATTTTATGCTTAGATTTTCAAAGATACCATACATTTAACATGTTCAAAAGTAATCTACCATCCCAGAAGATAATACAGAGAAATATTTAGATTTCCTTGGGTCTGGTAATGAGTTTTTAGTTATGACACCTAAGGCACAGTTCCTGAAAAAGAGAAGAACTGATAAGCTAGATTTCATTAAAATTAAAATTTTCTGCTCAGAAAAAAATCATTGCCAAGAACATGGAAAGACAAGCCACAGGCTAGAAGAAAATGTTTACAAAAGGCATATTTGATAATGGAATGTTATCTACAGTATATTTTAAAGATCTTAAAACTTAACAATGAGAAAACAAACAACCCAATTAAAAAATGAGCCAAATATCTTAACAGACACCTCGCCAAGAAGATACAGGAATGGCAAATAAGCATATGAAAGGTTATTCCACATCATATGTCATCAGGGAAATGCAAACTTAAAACAGCGAGATACTGTTACACACCTATTAGAGTGGCTAAAATTCGAAACTCTGATAATACCAAATGCTAGCAAAGGTGTGGGGTAACAACAATAACTCTCATTCACGACATGTGGGAACGGAAAAGGGCACAGACACTTTGGGAGATCGTTTGGTGGTTTCTTACAAAACTATGCAACATCTTACCATGTGATCCAGCAGTTGCACTCCTTGGCATTTACCCAAAGGAGATGAAGACACAAGTCTATGTAGAAACCCACACATAAAAGTTCATAGCAGTTTGTTTTTTGTTTGTTTGTTTTTGAGACAGAGTCTCACTCTGTCACCAGGCTACAGTGCAGTGGTGTGATCTCGGCTTACTGCAACCTCCGCCTCCTGGGTTCAAGTGATTTTCCCGCCTCAGTCTCCTGAGTAGCTGGGATTACAGGCACGTGCCACCATGCCCAGCTAATTTTTGTATTTTTAGTAGAGACGGGGTTTCACCACATTGGCCAGGATGGTCTCACTCTCTTGACCTCGTGACCCGCCCACCTCAGCCTCCCAAAGTTCATAGCAGTTTTATTCATAATTGCCAAAACCTGGAAGCAACCAAGACGTCCTTCAGGAGGTGACTGGATAAATAAACTGTGGTACGTCCATACAATGGAATATTATTCAGAACCAAAACGAAATGAGCCGTTGGGCCATAAAAAGATGGAAAAAATGTAAATACTTATTACTAATTGAAATAAGTCAATCTAAAGGGCTAAGTACTCATGATTCTAACTATATGACATTCTGAAAAAGACAAAACTATGGATACAGTAAAAAAAAAAAATAGTGGTTTTTCAGGGTTAAGGGAGGTGGAGGGATTAATAGGCAAAGCTCAGAGGATTTTTAGGGCAGTGAAACTATTCTGCATGATCCTCTAATGGTGGATATGTGTCATTACATATTTGTGCAAACCCACAGAATGTACAACACCAAGAATGAACCCTAATATAAACTTGGGACTTTGGGTGATAATGATGCACCAATGTAACAAATGTTCCGCTCTAATGGGAGATGTTGATAATGGGGGAGGCCTTAGTCGAATACGAAAGGCAGTTACTATGTAAATAATCACACAAAGGTATTTCTGCACCACTAGCTTGTAATCAGTTGCACAGACACACCACTAAGAGGTATGTCTGACCATGTTAAGGAGATTAGGGAAGACTTTCCAGGGAGGAAGAGATGCCTGAACTGAGAGGTGAGGAGTGAGTTGAAGCTTCTGGGTCCACAGGGAAGGGAAATGCCATTCCAAGCAGAGGGAACAGCATGGGCGAAGGTAGCTTGTGACAGGGAGGGGCTGGCAGGCCAGGGAGCTGGAGAACAGTGAGCTGGACAAAACTGAGCATGCATATGTGTGTATAGGGTGTGGGTGGTATACGGGAAATCTCTGGACCTTCCCCTCAATTTTTCAGTCAATATAAACTGCTCTAAAAAATAAAATCTGTTAAAAAAAACTTTTTATCACTACTAGAAAAAGAGAATTAAAAAATATTTTAGTGAATGACCCTATAATCTAACCTCTTGCATACGGCAAAAATCTGAGGGTCACCTTCAATAAATCCTTTTCTCTCACTTTCCATGTGTAATCCCTCAACAAGTAATTCCAATTCTCTCCCTCTCAATCACCCACCACAACCTTGTCCGTGCTCTCCTTGCCTCACTCCTGGACCACTCTGCCCAGTGGCCTTCCTTCTGCTCAGCCCGACTCCTGTGCAGACTTTCTCCACAGTTTTGTCTGAGAAGAATCTTTTCAATATGCAAAATGGATCAAGTTGCTCCCGGCCCGAAGCCCTTCAGCATCTTTCCACTCCACTTAGGATAAAGAAAAAAAAATCCTAATGTATTTCTCAAAGCCAGTTTTGCTTTCTCCCACCCCTCCATCTCCATATCACTCCAGGATCCAACTCCTTCCAGCTCACTGTTCTCCAGCCTCCCTGGCCTGCCAGCCCCTCCCTGTCACAAGCTACCTTTGCCCATGCTGTTCCCTCTGCTTGGAATGGCATTTCCCTTCCTTGTGGACCCAGAGGCTTCAACTCGCCCCTCACCTCTCAGTTCAGGCATCTCTTCCTCCCTGGAAAGTCTTCCCTAATCTCCTTAACGTGGTCAGACATACCTCTTAGTGGTGTGTCTGTGCAACTGGATACAAGCTAGTGGTGTAGAAATACCTTTGTGTTATTATTTACATAGTAACTGCCTTTTGTATTAAACTAAGGCCTCTGTAAAGGGAGGTTTGTTTGGCTCAAACAGATCTAATACACTGTTTAGCACCCAGTTGCTCAACAGATATTGGCTGAATGTGGAACTTTAAAAAAATAGTATTAATTTTGAATGAAATTATAAAGGCATTAACTCATTGACCATTTTCAAAGCATTTCCTTCTCATCGGACCATTACAAAAAATAATAAAAATATAGAGAAGTCAAAGTATTCACTTGATGAAATGAAATTAAAAATCAAACTGGAAAACATATATTGGCTCTACTAATTTTTTTTTTTTTTTTTTTTTTTTTTTTTTGAGACAGAGTCTCACTCTGTCACCCAGACTGGAGTGCAGTGGTGCAATCTCGACTCACCGCAACCTCTGCCTTCTGGGTTCAAGTGATTCTCCTGCCTTAGCCTCCTGGGTAGCTGGAATTACAGGCACCCATCAACATGCCCGGCTAATTTTTGTATTTTCAGTAGAGACAGGGTTTCACCATGTTGGCCAGGCTGGTCTTGAACTCTTGACCTCAGGTTATACGCCCACCTCGGCCTCCCAAAGTGCTGGGATTACAGGCATGAGCCACTACGCCTGGCCTTGGCTCTACTGATTTTTAAACTCTCTGAGATCCAGGTTCCTTCTGTAGCGACAGAGATACCTTTCTCTACAGATTGTTATGAGGACGTATACAATAATATCAACAAAAAATCTAGCACAGTGCCCAGTGCATTCAGTTGTATAGTCAAGAGAAATTTATTAGTGCCATTACTACCAATCCATGAAAATACGGGTCAGCCATTGGCACATATTTCAGAGAGCTGAGCAAAGTACACTTACTTCAAGGGAGTTAAACAAGAGCATTAATTTCCCAGAGTCATGACTTTTATTGTGTCTTAAACTTTAACAATATTGACCTGAATTGCTCTAAACCAAAGCCATCAATACTGCAGAATGTTTGCTCAGGTGAAGCTTTCGAACAGGATTTAGGTGAAAGCAAAAGGTTCCTAAAATGGAGTGTGGAAGTGATGTGAGATTCTTCATTCATCTGCTTATCTTTGAATCCGCCTATCTGTCCATTGGCTCAAAACTTAAGTATTGAGTAACTGAGATACACCAGGCACTAGAGTTATGGCAGTGAAGAGAACGGAGTTCCTGTCTTCATAGAACTTACACTATAGAAAAACAAAAACAGAAACAAAAACAAAAACATAAAACCCACAAAACACTCAAGTAACCATTCCATTCTAGTGCCATGAATGTTAAAAAATAAATAAAAATAGAAGAAAATATAGAACACTTAAGTTGTAGATAGGGAAGGACCTGTTATATAACAATAAAAATAGGCATTTATATAAACTGTGGCTGGATAGATACGAGAACAGACTCTGCAAACCAATGTGAGGGAGCAGATTCAGAAGCAGAGCTCACAAAGGAGTGGGTGAAAACCATGGCTCTTGGACCCCTGGGTCAGGTTAGTGGAGGAACATGGTGTCAGGTAGAAGGAGATTAAAGCATTTTGGAAAGAAGACATATGCAGATGTTTGGAGAGAGCTTTTGCTATGCAGTCTCTGTTTACACCATCTCCAATGGAGGAGATCAAAGAAGTATCGCCTCCTTTTATCCACGTATAGACGGCCTACTCAGAAAGCTTGGTATAGATTCCCATGTTTGGGGACCAGAGGCACAGGGATATTTCACTCCTCAGAAAGCTAAGGCAATCCCAGGCAACAAGAGGAAGGCTAATGCATCAGGATATGCTCAGATATTTAGAATTTGTTGAGGCAAAGGAAGCATTGCTCATGGACTAGAGGTGAGACACGTGGGGAAAAGAGTTGTCCTGGTGCCATTTTAAGGCCCAAGACTCCAGCAGGAGATTTCTGTGTGTTTGAAACATGTCCAATTACAAAATGGACATCCAAGGCACACTCAGTCAGCAGGGAGCCTCGGGAGGAGAGTCACTCATGAGGGACCCCCGAGGTTCCATGCTGACAGTAGCCTGGGGCTATGGCTCAAGCACACCATGATATTGGAGCCAATGAGGCCTGAACACAAATCCCAGGCCCACCAGTTTACTTCCCTGAACCTCAGTTCTTCCACCTGCAAAAGAGAATGTTAGCTACAGCATCGAGCAGTTGGGAAGAATATTTACATGAGTAGGAAAGACCATTTTAAACAAGCTTACAGGCAAAAGCTTCAATACACTAAACTTCAAAGTGTAAAATGTCTGTATGACAAAAACTGCCTAAAACAAACTTAAAAGACAAGCTACAGACTACGGGAAGACATTTTCTACATGATATACCCAAAAATTGTCATCAAAGATGTGGTTGGCAGAAGACAGGAAATAAAATTATATAATGAAGGAGTAAATTATTCAAAGAAAAAGAAGCAAAAGTTGTAGATGGGAGATTCATGAAAGGGAAGACAAAAATAGCCAATAAACATGAGAAGATGGTCAACCTCCTTAGTAATTAGGGAAATGTAAACTAAAACAGTGCTATATTTTACCCTTCTTGATTGGTTTCAATAAATAAATATTTCCATAAACTGCTAGTGGAAGTTGAAACTGACACTTTGAAGTACATTTTGGAAGTCTTTTTTTTTTTTTTTTTTTTTCAAATCTGCATACCCTATGACTACTTCAGCCATGTGGCTGCTTGGTATCTCCCTTAGAGAAACCTTTCACATGTTTTCACAAAGAGGCATGGACAGAAATGGTTACAGAATCATCATCACTTGGAAAAGTCCCCAAACAGTGGCAGGCTAGGACATGTTTAACAACTGGCTTCCCCCAAACAGACCTGATTTGCAGTGTTTGCTGATTTCCTGGCACACACAGCCCCACCATGGCCAATTTAAAGCTACTGAAATGAAGTCACTAAAGGAGATGGGATGTCCACAGTCAGCTCTTGTGAGTAACACAAGCTGGCTGCAAGACACCACTGTTCCCAGTAGTACATACGGACAGACTGTGTTAAAGTACAAAAACCAAAATCTACACGTTACCTATTAGTCACTGACGCACAGTAAGAAATGCAGATAATACATACCAACAAGTTAGCAATGGTTTCTTTAGGTCTTGGATTCCGGTAATAATCCATTATGTCTTTAGCCTTATTTGTAACATGCTCAAGGAGCATTTTGTCCTATTATATAACCAAATGAAGGAAGTAATGAAATTACCACATAATTATCACTTATGTAGCAAAATTAGTACAAAAACAACATTAAGGAAATAACCAATCAGTGTTGGTTCGTTTATTATCCCACCTCTCATTATAAGACCTCGTGCATGCTGAGGGAAACCAATAAGGTTTGTTCATTCATTCATGAAATAAATTATTACTGAGTGCCCAGTTTGTACCAAGCACAACAAGAGAAGATGGTGGTGACCAAGAGGTACATCAAATTACCAGACTAGGAAGTTTTATAATCTGTCATTGAATAAATGGACATTAAGGAGTCATTTCTATTATACAAAGGTGCAAATCTACCTGAGAAAAAGAGAAAAGAGGCATGCAGTAGATGTGGCCTTGGGGATATCCGGGGTGCTGTGAGGGAAGTGTGCAGGGCAAGGTTTCAGAGCTAGGGAAGCCCTTCTAGGTTTATAAAACATTCTGAGGGATCTGGAGGAAAGGAAGGTGGGGGAGACAGAGGGAAAAGCAGAGACAGGGAATGATCATGCCAAGGAGAAAGTTCCTGGCAAGGTGTGCAGGTAAGAGAAAGCAGGAGATGTTGAGGAAACGGAGGAAGTCCACTGGGCTGTCACATGCCAGGGTGAGTTGATGCCAAAGAGACAGGCAGTGCTGGGCTGGAGAAGCCTTGTCAGCCAGGTCCATTTCGATAATCAAAATAATTTATGATGAAGAAAGAGTACAAGCAGATCAAAGTATTTTTCTTTTAAGAAGATAATTTTCTTTTAAGGAGAAAGCAAAAAGATAAAATTCCTCAAAAACAAACCACCCATTAATAAAATCTCCTAAAAAATGTTCTAGAGCATGTATTAAAGATGATCTAACTTGCTGAGCTTTGGAGCAGTGCCTGGAAATGTTAAGTGCACCCAGTAGGTCTGCAGTATACACAGATGTCCTTCTGATGACAACGCTTGCCTATGCAGGCTGGAAGTCTGCCTAAAACAGGGTCCTGCCCAGCCAGTTTCATCTGAAAACACAATGTATTTGCTTTTCTGCTTTCTCCACACCTCCCTGACAAGTCTCTCATTACCCACTGTTAGCCCGGTTTTCCTCTGGACATTTTATCTTCATTTCCTTGGCCACAGGTCCAGTTTCTCTGTAGATGGAAACCTCTATTTTCCTTTTTGTAAAATAAAAGAGAGAGATTCTTGCAGACAGGTTGTCCAAGCCTCTGCCATCAGGATGTGTGAGTTTACAATTGCCATGTATGCCCACCCAATAGGAATCACAATCTCTGAATAATGGAGAATATTCTTCTCATTCTCTGCCTCATCTTTGCCCCTCAGAATTGTTGAAGGAAGAATCTTTACTGACTGAGGGACTGATGCAGTGACAAATGAATTGTTCAGTTACTCAATCAATAAACTCATTCACTGAGCTCTGCTGGGGCTTGCACTCCCTCACTCCACTTCTGTCTGCTTTAGCCCCAAAGCTGTGGCCCTGGACATTTCTCAGAAGTGGTTCCAGCTCGGTGGTATCTTCCCAGGAGACCCGCTTAGCGCAAGGAGGAAACTTGCATTTTTTCAGAGTCATCCTGTGTATACTTCAACTAACTCCTCAGCACTGTTTACTAACACACCATTAAGACCTCTCTTTATAGACCTACTTTTGGAATCTGTGGTTGCATTTCTCTTTTGCCCCAGTTATGTCTTATCTAGGAGGCTGAGCCCCCTAAAGCCACCAGCATATTACGTTGCCACCCATGTTCCTGTCCATCCCAATCATCCCAATCATCCTGGGAGTTGGATGTCTTTGCTGAGTGCAAGCAAAAGGGACTTTTGTTGTTGTTGCTTGTTTTCATTTTTATCTCATTTAGTGATTAAGGTGCATCCAATACTCAAGTGGCAACACACCCAGTGGCACCATCAGAGTTGCCTGTGACATGACAGATCATCAACTATATCAAGGTGAGAACATCACAAACAGGAAACGTAGTTGTCAAATCATGCCAGGCCAAATGTGGAGCCTAAAAACACTGTGTCAGGAAGACATTCTCCAGAGCCTTGAGATGAGCATTGAAAAACAGAGGGTTGCCTCTCAGTGAGTGCTCAATAGAGCTTTGCATGGGGGGTCCACATCATGAATCATCACCGAGTCCCCCTTATGAGCTGGGTAAGGATACTTGAACTTCTGAGCCTGCCCACCCTTGGCAGGGAAGGCAGAGCTAAGGAAGTGAAGGTGCGGTCGGAGATATCTGTTAGAGGAGCAAGGACTCAGTGATTCTGAAGAGGGGGATTCATGAAGGCTGGGAGGGTGAGCTGGATTTCAATCAGAAGAGAAACGATACAAAGAAGGTTGAATCCATGCCTTAGCCATGTCACCTCTCAGTCCCTTTAGAGCAGTGAATGCCCAGATTTTCTTTCTTTAAAATAAGAACTTAGCGGTCTCAATGTGTCTATCTTTAACTTTTGCCTTTTTTCTTCCTGAAATGTTAGGGTATGTGTGTATGTGTGTGTGTTTTGTTTGCTTGAATTATTGTTATTTTCTCTTGATTTCATGAGGAAAGACCCCACTTGAGAAATAGAAACTTGGTTTTGAAAAATCCAATTTGATTCTGTTGTAACTTATTTATTTTGATTTTTACTCCTGATGGTTTATTTTCTCATTGTAGCAGTGTTGGGTTATGGGAGCAGAACCTGCTCTGGATATTTTGAGCAGAGAGAGACTTAGTGCAGGGATTTGGTTGCAAGGGTATTGGGGTGGGTTGGGAAAGCAAAAGTGGGAGGAAGATGTTGGTGCTAACACGGATTTAGGAAGCAGGTGTTCGCATGAGATGAGGAGACTGCAGCTGAGACATTTTGATTGACTTGTTTAAGATCCTGCTATCCCTTGTTCTCATGAAGCCCAAAATCCAGGCAAGGGAGCAAACATACACAATCAGCCATGGAGATTGAGCCTCTCCTGCCTCTAACTCCTGCCCAGTTCTCACTATGTCATGCTGCCTGCCATAGATGAGTGACCAGGAGGCTCAGGGACCTGGAAGGGGACTTTCTGCATCTCCATACCCTGGCGTATGTTCTTGGGATCTGAAAAATTATCAAATATCTACTACCAGCTCTTTGAAACTTTTCAAAAACACCACATGCAGAGCTAGCTGACAATAGCCTGAATCTGAACAAACAGGTTGACTGAAAACTGGCTGGATCAAGGTAGCTATATTTAGACTAATAGAATAGCATGTCTTAGTGAAAGATTGGAACCTCAAAAGTCACCTATAAGCATATTTATTGACCAGGCATTTGACTAATGGAAGATATTTCTAAGGCAAGAGACAAAGACACTGGCAGAACTTAGGCATAAAATGACCATCACACAAGCATTTATACAAGAATGAATTTCGATCCTTCTCAAACTCTTCCAAAAAAATAGGATAGGAGGTAACACTTCCAAACTCATTTTTTGAGGCCAGCATTACCTTGATACCAAAACAAGATAAGGCCATCCAAGAAAAAAATATATAGACCAATATATCTGATGAACATAGATGCAAATATTTTGATCAAAATACTAGCAAGCCTAATTCAACAGCACATTAAAAGGATCATATGTCATAATCAAGTAGAATCTACTCAGATGCAAGGATGTTCAACACATGAACATCTGTAAATATAATACAGCATATCAACAGAATGAAAGACAAAAACCATATCATCATCTCAATAGATGCAAAAAAGCATTTGACAAAATTCAACATCCTTTCATGATAAAAATTCTCAACAAATTAGGTATAGAAGAAAGAATAAAGATCATATATTTCAAGCCTACAGCTAACATCATACTCAATGGTGAAAAGCTGAAAGCTTTTCCTCTAAGATCAGGAACAAAACAAGGGTGTCCATTATTACCACTTCAGTTGAACACAGTATGGAAAGGCTTAGCCAAAGAAATTAAACAAGATGAAAAGGGCCTCCGTATTTTAAAGGAAGAGGTAAAGTTGTTTCTGTTGGCAGATGACATGATCTCATATACAGAGAAGCCTAAAAATTCCATCAAAAAACTGTTAGGATGAATAAAAAAATTTAGTAAAGATGAAGGATACAAAATCAACATTAAAAAATCAGTTGTGTTTCTGTATGCTAACAACAAATACCTCAGAAAGAAATCAATAAAGCAATCCCATGTATAGTAGCTACAAAAACAATAAAATACTTAGGGACAAATTTAATCAAGGTGGTAAATGATCTATACACTGAAAATATAAGACACTAATGAAAGAAACTGAAAAGGGCACAGATACATGTAAAGATAGCTCATGTTCGTGGATTAAAAGAATTAATATTGTTAAAATGTCCATGCCATTTAAAGCAACCTATAGATTTGATGTAAGCCCTTACAAAATTTCAGTATTTTTCACATAAATAGAAAAAAGAACTAAACTTCATATGACACCACAAAAGACCTCAAATAGCCAAAGCAATCTTGTGCAAAAAGAACACAAACAAAGGGAAAAACATTCCATGCTTATGGATAGGAAGAATCAATATCATTAAAATGGACATACTGCCCAAAACCATTTAGAGATTAAATGCTATTCCTATTAAAACTACCATTGATATTCTTCACAGAACTAGAAAAATTGTTTTAAAATTCATATTGAGTTCATATAAAATTCATAAAAGAGTCCAAATAGCCAATGGGGTGGTAATTATTTTACAATACACACATATATCAAATCATCACATTGCAGACCTTAATAAATGGAAACACATCTCATGTCATGGATTGGAAAGCTCAATATCGTGAAAATGACCATTTCAATATTTGAAAATGACCATTTGAAACTGCCCAGAGCAATCTACAGATTCAATGCAATTCCTATCAAAATACCGTCATCTTTCACAGAATTAGAAAAAAAAATCCTAAACTTCATGTGGAACCAAAAAAGAACATGAATAGCCCAAGCTATCCTAAGCATGAAGAACAAATCTAGAGGAATCACATTACCTGGCTTCAAATTATACTACAAGTCTATAGTTCCAAATCAGGATGGTACTGCTATAAAAGCAGACATACAGACTAGTGGAAAAGAATAGAGAACTCAGAAATAAAGCCAAATTTACAACTAACTGATCTTCAGCAAAGCCTACAAAAAATAAATTGGGGAAAAACATCCTTATTAATAATTGATGATGGGAAAACTGGATAGCCACAGGTAGAAGAATGAAACTGGATCAATCCTTATCTCTCACCTTATACAAAAATCAACTCAAGATGAGTCAAAGACTTAAATCTAAGTCCTGAAATCAGAACAATTCTTGAAGACAACCTAGGAAAAACTCTTCTGGACATTGGCCTATGCAAAGACTTTATGACAAAGAACCCAAACACAAATGTTACAAAAACAAAGATAAATAGATGAGTCCTAATTAAGCTAAAAAGCTTCTGTACAACAAAATAAATAACCATCAAAGTAAACAGACAACTTACAGAATGGGAGAAAACATTTGCAAACTCTGCATTTGACAAAGGACTAATATCCAGAATCTACAAGGAGCTCAAACAAATTAGTGAGAAAAAAAATCCCATCAAAAAGTGGGCAAATGACACGAATAGACATTTCTCAAAAGAAGATACACAAATGGCCAACGAACATATGCAAAAATGCTCAATGTAACTAATCATCAGGGAAATGCAAATTAAAACTACAATGAGATACCACCTTACCCCTGCAAGAATGAATATTATTAAAAAGTCAAAAAACAGTAGATGTTGGCATGGATATGGTGAAAAGGAAATGCTATACACTGCTGGTGGGAATGTAAATTAGTACAAACTCTATGGAAAACAGTATGGAGATTTCTTAAAGAACTAAAAGTAGGCCTACCGTTTGACCCAACAATCCCAGTGGTGGGTATCCACCCAAACAGAAAGAAGTCATTATATTAAAAAATGCACCTGCATGTGTATGTTTATTGCAGCACAATTCACAATTGCAAAGATATGGAACCAAACTAAGTGTCCATCAACCAATGAGTAGGTAAAGAAAATATGCTATATCCACACCATGGAATACTACTCAGCCATAAAAAGAATAAAATGATGTATTTTGCAATAACTCAGGTGGAGTTGGAGGCCATTATTCTAACTGAAGTAACTCAGGAATGGAAAACCAAATACTGTATGTTCTTATAAGTGGGAGCTAGACTGTGGGTATGGAAAGGTATGCAGTGTGGTATAATGGACTTTGGAGAATCAGAAAGAGGAGAGTGGAAGGGGGTGAAAGATAAAAAATTGCACGCTGGGTACCATGTACAATACTTGGGTGATGGGTATGCTAAAATCTCAGACTTCACCACTATATAATTCATCCATATCATCAAAAACCACCGTACCCCAAAAGCTACTTAAATAAAAAATATTTTTAAAATAAAATTAAAAAGTGGTAGACCTTAAAAATATGCAATTTTTATGTCAATTATACCTCAATAAAGCTAGAAAAACAAAACAAACCAAAAAGCTGTCCACATCATCATTCATAAGAAATGACATTGAAATCATATTCAATATAAGGAGAATGGTTAAAGAAATCGCACCACATGCATTAAATGGAAAACTCTGAGGTAATTTAAAAGGTTTAGCTCTTAACATAATTAATGAAATAGCAACATATTTACAATCCATAACATTAAAAAGATATTAATTGAAAAATTATCTCTGGGATCTTAAATAAATTCCTGACCATTCAAACTGCAAAGAAACAGAAGTTCTTTCTCATGATAAAACAAAAAAAGAAACCTGTTTAAGGTGAAAGTGTCTTTAGATTTCATGTTCCTGAGTCAGAATACCAGCTTTGCTACTGACTAGTGACCTTAATCAATTCATTTCATGACTCTGCATCTGCAAGTTTCCCATTTAATCTTTAAATTCCTTTGGCCCTGAAACTCTGCTGTATTTCCCATATAAGTCTATTTCCTCTGGTTCATAGTCAAATACTTCAAGGCAATAATCTTCAGAGTCTGTTCTCAATGAAGGTAAACTGGCCACATAGAAGAGCTGGGTCATGAGAGATAATTCCTCACACATTCCTGATTCAAATGTCAATACCACCCTTGCTGGTGCTTTTTTTTTTTTTTTTTTTTTTTTTTTTGGGTAGGAATCCCTTGCCCAGGCTCCTCAATGCACAAGCACAGGAAGGGCTGACGTCTAGCTCATAAAGACTCCTACTGAGGGGCAGATTCCTCCATCTGTGCAAAAAGGAGAAAGGAATCATCTAAACTGCTAGGAAAGGCACTGGTCTGGGAACCCATCATGTTGGTTCTCTCGGTGACTTTGACATTGACTCTTTTGTGCTACAACTTTGCAGAGAGCCAACATCTCCTTATCTACAGAATATGGGTGCCGGCCTTGATGAATACTAGGCTTTGGAACTGGATCCTGTGTTGGGAAGAGAGAGGAATAAAACATAGTCCCTGACTTCACTGAGTTTGAATCTGCAGGGGCCAAGGGAGGAACTGGATATTTTTTACACAAATACATGCACACTTAAAGTCCTGATTGCCACAAAACAGAGGTGCCTGCCAGCCAGGACGAGGGGCACTTCCTGCAGGGAGTAGCCTGTGAGCAGAGTTCTGAAGGAAATGAAGGCGTGAGGAGGCAAAGCAGAGGGGAGACAGAGGGAGACACATGCAAGCATCCTATCTTCTCGTGTACATTAGCAGAGATGGCCAATCTGTGATCTGCACAAACCCATGGTTAGGAAGCAGAAAGGAATGTTCAGATGAAATATTAAGGAAAGATTATGTCTTTTAAAGCAAGATTATTCCTGCCTGGAAGATAAAAGGCTTTGTGTAAGTGGGAGTGGAAAATTGAGCTGCAGAATTTGATGATCTGGTAGGAAATAAATAAAAAAATTGAGGGGCAAAAGCACATTTGTCAGGTGTCACAGAACAAGCAAAGGCAGCCTCTACCTGAAAGAAACAGAAAGCAGTCCAGCCTGAGTGAAGGCATGCATCCGGGATGATTTCAAAAGTTTTATTTCAGAGACCTTGAAAATAAGGCTCAGATATTTGCTGCTAATGAATGCTTTTTAGTCTATATCAAATGCCTCTCTATAGCTTTTTTCACTGTGGACTGAGACTTCTTTGAAATCCTCTCTGGTTCTTGTCTTTTCCTCTTAATTCTCTGGCTATTCCTCCTCAGGCATCCTCATCAACTTGTTTTTATCTGCCCACCCCTGAATGTTCACACAGCCTCAGAAGGCCTCGGCTGGCTTCCTTTCAAATTTCACAGAATCTCCACCTTCAAACTTATCCTCCCATCTGGCTTTAACCTCTGTGTATCTGCTGGTGACTCCACATGAATTAACATCAGTTCAGATCTTCCAACGAACCAGCTGAGTCCCCGGTGCTGGGCTGTTTATGCATTTTATTATATTGAATTATTTTTAGGCAATGGAGCTCCTTCTTTCCCAGCCCCCCAACTCAATCTTACATGGAAGTCTAATCTGTAAAGCAGACAAACATAATTTTATGAAAATAATTTAGTTTATATAGTCCAAATGGGTAGCATTTGCTGAAGAAAATCAGTGAAACCATGAAGCTATTCTGGTTGACATGCAAGTTAGAAATCAAGAGCTATGGAGCCTTAGATAAGGAGTTTTTTATTTTTCTGACAGCATAAGATAGAGTATATCTAACATCTACAAGCATCACTGTTTGTACATACGTATTTTGTGTGATATATATTTGATTCATCCCATCCCTTTTCAAAATCTTTGGCTCTGCTATTCATTTTTACCCCCCAGGGTAACTATTTCTCTTGCTATTATTCAAAAACCCTAAAATTGATTTTTTTAATAAAAATTTGGGATCAATTATTGTTTCAAAGTCCCATTACTTTATCTAGCAAATGTTCACACTCCCTTCCTCATGAATACTAAAGCCGAATGAGAGGTATGGGGAGCTCAGGGTAAGCACTGAAATCACACATAGCCCAATTTGTCATGACCTGGGATGCCATCTGTTCTCATGTCATTGCACAACTCTGTGCTGAGCGATGTGACCCAGCCAGGCCTGGCATCTGGGCCCCTCATGTACAGGTGCTATGGAGGGGCATGTCTGCTTGCATCATGTCACGTGATCAGACGTATGCATCTGCTACGTCACTCCCTCAATGCCACAGAGTTGAAATATGGAAAGAAAGGAAGTCTACACAAAAACAGCTAAGAAATATAGCACGAGTCCATGACGGTGAGAAGGACAGGCAGAGCCGCTGCCGTTTGAATATTAATTCCGTGACAAGGGCTTGCATGACCTAAGTAAATCTGCAACATGACCCCACGAGACAGGGTCTACTCCTGCTATCATGCTCATATGCAGAAACTAAGGCACTGGGCGCTTGCCCAAAGTCTCACCATTTTAGAGGTGGAGCCAGGATTTGAACCCAGACACTAGAAGTTATATTCCTAAAATAGGTCTTCACTGTATAAATATTTACTAAAATAATAAGACAAACATTTCATTCATTGCATTTTTTAAAACATGTAACATATTTAAGAAAAGCAACTGAAATAACATGTGTGTAGTTAACCTAGAGGTCAGTCCGTGGAACACTGTCTGAAAGACCCCTAAAAGTCTAATCTTGTCACTGCTGCATCAGTGTGAACGTCCAATGAGAGCTGGGAGTATGAAGAGAAGGAGGATAGTGAGGATGCTGAGCAAAGGAAGGAATCTGGTTCTGCATCAGGCAGTGCCAGGGGCACAAGGGGAAGCTGAACATCCAAGAAGGAAGACAGCTCTGATGGATAGGACTTAAAATTTTGATTAGAGGCAGAAGTGAGGGTGGATAAGGGGGTCAGGATGAAGCTCAGGTCCATCTTGCTGGGCCAGCTGCATGGCAGGGCCATTTATCAACAGAGCGAATTCCCTCCTTCAGCAGATGCTTGCCACAGGTCCTGTTCCCAACACCACGGGCACAGAAGGGAACAAACAACACTTGCCCAGACCCGGGAGCTGGACCATCTGGACTTGAATCCTACCTCCACGACTTAATACTTGGAGAGCCTTGGGCAAGTCAGTGGCTTTCTCTACACCTAAATTTCCCCTTCTGCAAAACAGGGACCTATTCATATAACTTATCACATAGGGAAGATGTGATGAGTTAAGTACAGCATACATATGAAATATTACAAATAACTCCTGGCATGTAAACACCACTCAGTAGGAGTGATCTGCTGAAAGTAACATTATTATTAAATTCAAGAGGAGATGCAGACGAAAAATAACTAAGCCCATATATAATAAATTAACTGAAGTCACCTAAAGAAAAAAAGAGTAAGGACTTGCGTATCAACAAGTGAAACAGACAATCTATTCAAAGAAAAAACTGAGCAAGAATTCCTCTCTCAGAAGGTGACATTTGAGCAAAGACCTGAATTAATTAAGGAAACAAGCTAGACAAAGATTGGGAGAGAAATCACCAAGTGCCAGACAAAAACATACCCAAGTTCAGAAGCTCTGAATTGGGAATGAACTTGGTGCATTCAAGAATGAATAAGAGTGACAGGGAAGAGGGATAGAAGATAAGTGTAAGAGGAACCCAGCAATGAGATGACCCCAAGCGAACCAGGACCTGTTAAGAAGTCTGGATTTTTTTTCTCATGGTTTACAGGATACAATAATATAATAGTGACAAGCCAGACTGTCTGAGTTAGAACCCTGACCCCACCTCTTATTATACCTTGGCTAGGCCATAGGCTCATTTTTGACTATGAGTATTAACTTGTGGATTTTTAAAAAACTATTCCCAAGGAACACACAATGGGAGGGACAGGGGTATCAGGACCTCTGAAATGCAAAATGAGAAAGGGGAGTGTTCTCAGGGTAACAGTCCTGCTCACAGAGATTCTATACACCCCACACTGGGTCCCTTAGAGCCATTTCAAAAACGGTGCCTGTAATCCCAGCTACTCGGGAGGCTGAGGCACAAGAATCACTTGAACCCGGGATGCGGAGGTTGCAATGAGCCGAGATCGCGCCACCGCACTCCAGCCTGGGCGATAGAGTGAGATTCAGTCTCAAAATAAATAAATAAATAAATAAATAAATAAATAAATAAATAAATAAATAAAATAAAAATAAAAAATAAAAAAACACTCTAACTTTTGGTGATCCCGCTTCCTAGCAATTATATTAAAATATACCCAATTTTAATTATATTAAAATTTCCCACAAATGAGTCAGAGAAATATGTATTATTTTCTACAACATGTGTTTTCAAAATTAGTTACCTCCTAATAATCCTTGACTATCTGTTGCCTATCAAAGAAGGCCCAATTCATCCACTATCATGAAAAGTAATTCTTAAATGAGGAAAGAGAAAATTTCATGTTTTTATTATGCAGATGAACTCCCCCCTCCAAACAACAATGAGCCCAGCAGAGGTGGACCCAACTCCACCAGAACTGACACCCACTCACCAGGCCTCACCATTTTATTTGTGTTTGCCTTGGCTGCCAACGGCAGGCTACCTGGAGTCTGCAAGCTGCCCAGTGGCTTAGGGAATGGTTGAGATACGCATGCATGTATACATACACATACACACATACACACACACACACACACACACCCACGATCCAAATATAAAAATTAAGCTGCAGAGTCAAAATTAATAATGCTTAATTGAATTTCCTCAAAATGATAGTCCATTGGTCTCATGAGTCTCTATGAAAATGTCAGTGCATTTGCAGAGACCTTGTAGGTAGCTTTTCTTACTTTGTAACATTTCTTAAGTATGCAGAAAAATCACAAATGCTTATGAATAAAGAGTTAGTTACCAGGAGGTAACTAATTTTGAAAACACGTGTTGTAGAAAAATAATACATATTTATCTGATTCATTTGTGGGAAATTTTAATATAATTAAAATTGGTATATTTTAATATAATTGCTAGGAAGTGGGATCACCAAAAGTGAGAGTGGTATTTATTTATTTATTTATTTATTTGAGACGGAATCTCGCTCTATCGCCCAGGCTGGAGTGCGGTGGCAAGATCTCGGCTCACTGCAGCCTCCACATCCCGGGTTCAAGTGATTCTTGTGCTTCAGCCTCCCGAGTAGCTGGGATTACAGGCACTATTTTTTAAAGGGCTCTAAGGGATCCAGTGTGGGGTGTATGGAATCTCTGTGAGCAGGACTGTTACCCTGAGAACACTCCCCTTTCTCATTTCACATTTCAGAGGTCCTTATACCCGTGTCCCTCCCACTGTGTGTTCCTTGGGAATAATTAAAAAAAAAAATCCACAAGTTAATACTCATGGTTAAAAACGAGCCTGTGGCCTAGCCAAGGTATACATTCAGCAGAGCCTGGAGACTGCCCTCCTGCCGTTTATGGCAACCAGTATTCCATTTGCCTAACAGCTTCCCTAGCTCAGAAATAAAATCTGTTCCTTTTCAAGATTACAGTGCTTTCCACCAGCACCCAATGAAAATGCATCTGTGAGCAGGTCAAGAATCAAAGTCCTCTGCTGCAAAGGTCCTCAAAGATGTGGCTTTCACATTTAAAGCATTAAGACTACAGAATTTCTTCTTATAACTGTTAAGCCACCAAGAAGAAAAGACTAAATCATGTAATTATCCATCATTAGTATCAACCTATTAGCTACAATTTTAGAATTCCAAGGTTCTAGGAGAGCAAAGAATTTATCTTGTGCAGCCCCATGTGAATTTCCTCTTCAATATTTTCTTCCCGTGCCATTTTATCCACTTTTTTTTTTTTTTTTTTTTTTTTAGAGACTGAGTCTCGCTCTGTTGCCAGGCTAGAGTGCAGTGGCACTTTCTCAGCTCACTATAACCTCCACCTCCCAGGTTCAAGCGATTCTCCTGCCTCAGTCTCCCGAGTAGCTGGGACTATAGGCATGCACCAACACGCCCAGCTAATTTTTTGTATTTTTAGTAAGGGCGGGGTTTCACCATGTTGTCCAGGATGGTCTCCATCTCTCGACTTTGTGATCTGCCCACCTCGGCCTCCCAAAGTGCTGGGATTAAGGCATGAGCCACTGCACCCGGCCTTATTTTACTTTTAAATTTTGACTTAGGAGATCTGGGAGTCAGGATCAAGAAACTGACCTTAGCAAATGCCCATGGGATTCTGTGAGTCAGGACCTTGGGCCACACATTGAGGAACTCTGCACTATGCGATGTGGACCCACATGCTGTGGTTTGAGGGGGTACAGAACAGTTCTCCCCACACTGATCCTAAATATTTTCCATGAGGATAACTCAAATGCCAGGCATCATACTTCATTCTTAGTCTATCAGAAACCTTCTGACCAAAACAGAAAGCGGTCGTCTTGCCTCTTTTGGTTACTTTGTTTTCTCCAAACAATCAGGATTTTTTTTCTTTAAGTAACGCTTTAATGACTATGAGAACTCTAAACAGCATGGTGTTCCACTGATATTCTTTCTACCTAAACAGCCTATTTTGCCTGGCCTTCAAGAGCTCAATTTTCTTTTTTTTCCTAACGGCATGACATTCAGCTTTCCACTTCCTTTTGTTCTTTGCTCCGAGCTCTGTCTTCAGATGTGGCTTTTCATCCACTCATTCAACAAATACACATGAGATGCCTACTCTGCCCCAGGCCCTCTGCTAGGCACCAGCCAGCCAGCATTGAAGAAAGCAACATGGTGCCAACAACTTGGAGTGTGCATCTTAGCATCACCTTCCTCATGAAAGATTAACTTATATCTCTAAGTATCAAAAGAACAAAAAAGCTTTCTCATGTTAAAAAGACCTGGATGACTCCAAATAGATGCACACAATTTTATAACGCCCTTTTCATTGTGCATGGCCTCATACCATGCTGAACCCCTGCTTGAAACCTTTGGTACAAGAACAGTTCCGTGCTGTGGAAGACAACATCGCAGCTGGGCATCTCAGGGTTCAGAGAGAGCTCTGGACCAGTGCCTGGCACACAGGAGGCCCTCAAGAAGCTTTGAACAAGTAAAACTCCGTCAGGACTAACATTCCAGTCCATGCAACTTCCCCACCTTCTGTTATAAAACTAAAATAGCCAGTGTTGATGAGGGTTCCTCATGTCGGACTCCCTTTTCAGTGTGACATTTTTAATTCTCACAAAAACCACATGAAGGAAGTGTTATTATTATTATTATTATTATTCCCATTTTACAGAGAAGAAAAATGAATTCCAAGGAGGGGGGTGAGGAGTCCGAGGTCATCCAGTGTGAATGCGGGCCCAGGCTTCTGATTCTAGAATCTGTGTAAGTGGTACTCTAGAGACAGAGGTTGTTCTCTCTTCCACCCACAAGGCGAGCCCCTCTGAAGCCTTGTGCTACATCTCTGGATGCATGCTTCAGGGGCCCTCCACTTGTCCCTCATCCCTAGATTTGTTTGCTTAAAACTCATTGTACTGGGTGAAGTTTCCCATGCAGCAGCTGTTAATGCCACTGCCTGAGCAAGAAGAAGGTAGTCAAGCTAACCAGGGGACCCTGGAGCCTTATCCCCTAGGGAACGAATGCAGGGCAGGGCTGTTGACTCCAAGTGAGCCAAAGTCATAAAGATCTGCTGGGGGGACCCTTCTCATTTTGAGCAGATGAAGATTTGCCTTGATGACCTGCACCAGAAATCAGGACACCACAAGTCAGTTGTGCCTCACAAAAGAGGGCACCTTGCCAAGGAGGCCCTCCTGAGCCCTGAGTCCCTGGGGCCTCCCCCCTCCCAAGCCCACATCGCTCACGTTGTAATTGCCACACAATCTCTCTGTCCACACCCTGGTCTTTGGGCCCCATGAAAGTAGCGCCAGCCACCAAGCTCGCTGTCAACAGCGCCTCATACACAGCAAACTGTCAAAAGTAGAATTTTATGCTGGGTAAGTATCTTAACAGAAATCACAACACGTGCCAGTTAGAATGGGGATTATTAAAAAGTCAGGAAACAACAGATGCTGGAGAGGTTGTGGACAAATAGGAACGCTTTTACACTGTTGGTAGGAGTGTAAATTAGTTCAACCATTGTGGAAGACAGTGTGGCAATTCCTCAAGGATCTAGAACCAGAAATACCATTTGCCCTAGCAATCCCATTACTGGGTGTATATCCAAAGGATTATAAATCATTCTACTATAAAGACACATGCACATGTGTGTTTATCGCAGCACTATTTACAATAGCAAAGACTTGGAACCAACCCAAATGCCCATCAATGATAGACTGGATAAAGAAAATGAGGCACATATACACCATGGAGTATTATGCAGCCATAAAAAAGAATGAATTCATGTCCTTTGCAGGATCATGGATGAAGCTGGAAGCCATCATTCTCAGGAAACTAACACAAAAACAGAAAACCAAACACTGCATGCTCTCACTCATAAGTGGGAGTTGAACAATGAGAACACATGGACACAGGGAGGGGAGCATCACACACCAGGGCCTGTCAGGGGGCAGGGGGCAAGGGGAGGGAGAGCATTAGGATAAATACCTAATGTATGCGGGGCTTAAAACCTGGAGATGGGTTGGTAGGTGCGGCAAACCACCATGGCCCATGCATGCCTATGTAACAAACCTGCACGTTCTGCACATGTATCCCAGAACTTAAAGTAAAATAAAAAAATAAAGAAGTAGCCACTATGCTAATCCCAATTTAAAAAGAAAAGAAATCACAACAAATGTGATTTCTAAGAGATTATTCCTGCCAGATGTGGCAGGGGGTGGTGCAAGGCTGTGGTGTCCTGGTGCGTGCACCTGTGCATGAGAATCCATGCGTATGTGGGCTCCCAACAGGACAGGAAATCTATCGAGTACCCACATATGTTACCTGCACTGATCCTTCAAACATTTCTACAGGGTCATTCCTATCATTGCTATTCCCATTTATAGAGAGCTGAAGAGTGGCACAGAAGCTACTGGTTCAGGGCTACAAGAACCTGGGTGGACTCAGGTTTGGCCAACTTCAAACCCTACTTCCTAATTGCTATACTATTTTTAGCAGCTTTTGGACACAGATGCTAAGGCAGCAGAAAACGATGTATTGTTAAATAACTTATGATGGGTGTGCTGTCAGTGAGACCCAGATGGGGAATGGAGAACCAGGGTAGGGAAAGAGAGGAAGACAGGCCTGGGTACATTTCAGAGGTCCTGAGAAGGGCACTTCAGCCCATCAGGCAACTTGGGAGTGAGCCTTACCTCCCATCCTGAGACAAGGGAGCTGGGTTTCCATGACCCTGTGTTAGTAGCCATTTGTTCGCAGCAAGGGTTGGGGTGAGGATGGGGGATGATGGGATTCAAACTCCCAGGAAAGTTTAATTATTGGACAAAATGCTTCCTGTTGTCTGGGAGTGGTCCTCCACAGGGAAGCCCCAGGTTCTGGGGACTGGAAACACATTAAAATAGTGTAGAAGAAGCACAGAAATGCAGGTGGGGTGTGGAAGGGGCTACGTGCTGCATGCCTATAGTTTGTGCGAAGGACGTTCAGTTGAGTAACTATTAATTCTGACAGGGGCAGGAGACTGCCCTTAGACCACCTGGTCGTTGAAGGCTGCATGCATTCTTTCTATAAGTCCATTGGGAGGAGAGGTGGGAAAGAAAGAAAAAGGAAGGGGTAGGCATTCAAAGTTGAAGGAACTGCAAAAACAGGAGCTGAGATGAGTCAAGGCACAAGACTGCACGGAGACTGATGGAAGCTCCTGAAGGAGGGCCCTAGTTGGCCAGCAGGTATCATGGCACAATCTCAAGGACAAAGGATACAGTGGCAATGCTGGCTTGGCCCAAAGGAAGTGGGGTGGTCACCCACGTCCCTGACAGAGCAGATTCCTGGCCTGCTCGAAGTGGAAGGAAAGGGCCCTGGGCTTGGCATTTCTGAGTTGACTGCTGTGACCTGCCTGGAAGCCAAAAAGATGGAAGAGCCCCTTTTAAGTGCTTCGCTTAATCAGGAAGGCCACTCTGCCACCCACCCTGCCGGCCACCCTGCCGGCCCTGGGTAGGCTCTTCTGTGGCCCCAGGCTGGTACTTAGAGCCTGGGGGCTGCAGTGTTTTACCTGCTTAGAATTCTCCATGAAAACAGACATATTTGATATTTAGGTGCTTTAATGGACCCTGAAAAGAAATTAGATTGATTCATTTGAAGAATAAATGTCGGTCCCCCGCCCTCTACATGGTAAAACTCTTAAATGCTTCTACTTAATGGAAATGGAAATTACCTCTCAAAACATTACAAAAACTAATGATGGCAATTTTTATATGTTTCCACAATTTACTGTGCTATCTTTTCTCTTGCTTTGATGAGCAATGACTAGTAGATGCCTGTTTTGTGCCTAATCATTTGCTGCAGCCTCACTCGACTTGAACAGACCCCGCTCCCAAGCATGATTCAACTGATCAGCCCCCTAAGGGAAAAAAATAACATCTCTAGGTAGGAAGAGGCTGTAGAATATATTAAATAGCAACATTTTGGTGGAAGAAAAGAGCCAAGGCTAAGTATATTTAACATCTGTTCACACAGACATGGACATACCAATTATTTGTAACCCTGAACTCAAAAGAAAAAAACAAATCTGAGACCCGCAAAACATAAGCAAGCCTTTGAAGAAAGCATAATTACATTTTAAAATGTCTTACACCTGTTTTATCTTCCTGGAATACCTGAACTCTCACATTCAATTAATTAACATTCATCTTTGTATTTCTCAGGGCATAGTACAATTTCTGGCTTGTAGGAGGCATCTGAAAAATTTGTTGAACTCAGATAAATATCAGTTTTGATCCAAATGTCATATGCTTGACTGACAAGTATAATAAGTGAGCATGTTAGAAATAAGACAGACCAAATCAATTATACATACACACATATATATACATGTATATATTTATATGTATAGACATTTATATGTATAGGAAGACCACTTGAAATTATATACACACATGCATGTATATGTATACATATGCATGTATGTTTGTGTGTGTATATGTTATGTCTTATGATTACTACAAAGAATAGTGAAAGTAGCATTCAATTTGAGTACTGAGACACACAATGAAGTTTCTGAAAATCCCCATCACACTTTTACTAAGAAAAATTTATGTTCTGTTCTATCTGCATAACTAGCTGTTGGCAAGCCACATCCTATTGGCAGGCCTCCTCTTAGAAACTATTAGATGAGGCCAGGCGTGGTGGCTCACGCCTGTAATACCAGCACTTTGGGAGGCTGAGGCGGGCAGATCACTTGAGGTCAGGAGTGCAAGACCAGCCTGGCCAACATGGTAAAACTCCATCTCTACTAAAAATATGAAAATTAACCAGGCATGGTGGCACACACCTGTAATCCCAGACACTTGGGAGGCTGAGGCAGGGGAATCATTTGAACCCGAAAGGTGGAGGTTGTGGTGAGCCGAGATTGCACCACTACACTCCAGTCTGGGAGACTGAGCAAGACTCCGTCTCGAAAAAAAAAGAAAAAAAAAAAAGAAAGAAAAGGAAACTACCAGATGAGACTGTACAACCTGGCTTTCCCTTGAATGTTTAGACCTCGTCTCTCTAAGGGTCCACAGGAATGCAGCAATAATACAAAAAGCCTGTCACAGTGTATCATTCTTTTTTTTTTTTTTTTGAGACAGAGTCTCACTCTGTCACCCAGGCTGGAGAGCAGTGGCGCGATCTCTGCTCACTGCAACCTCTGCCTCCCGGGTTCAAGCAATTCTCCTGTCTCAGTCCCCCAAGTAGCCGGGACTACAGGTGTGCACCACCACGCCTGGCTAATTTTTTCTATTTTTAGTAGAGATGGGCTTTTGCCATGTTGGCCAGGCTGGTCCTGAACTCCTGACCTCAGGTGATCTGCCTGCCTCGGCCTCCCAAAGTGCTGGGATTACAGGTGTGAGCCACCTCACCTGGCCACAGGCTGTATCATTCTTTAAGGCCATTGTGGACACAGAGATTAGCAAATGCTGCTGGTCACAGTCTTGGTCCTGAGCTGGTTGTCCCAGCCATTCCTGTATCCCACTCTCTTATCGTCCATCGATGTCCATCTTCCCATCTTACCTTCACACTGAATGTTCAGCAACATCCCTCCTGTTTAACCTTGGCACCTGACATGGTTTTGCTATGTCCCCACCCAAATCTCATCTTGAATTCCCACATGTTGTGGGAGGGACCCAGTGGGAGGTAACTGAATCATGGAGGCAAGTATTTCCCATGCTGTTATTGTGATAGTGAATAGGTCTCATGAGATCTGAGTTTTAAAAAGAGGAGTTCTCCTATACAAACTCTGTCTCTATTTGCCTGCTGCCATCCATGTAAGATGTGACTTGTTCCTTCTTGCCTTCCCTGGTGATTGTGAGGTTTCCCCACCCGTGCAGAACTATAAGTCTAATTAAACCTTTTATTATGTAAATGGCCCAGTCTTGCGTATGTCTTTATCAGCAGCATGAAAACAGACTAATACAGCACCCCTTCACCCATGCTATGAGGGCCCTCTGTCTCACTTACATCAAATCACCCTGTTTAAATATCCCTTCTGTCACCTCTGCCTTAGGAACACTTCTGTTGGTTCCACCTGCAAGCTTCCCTTGAATGCTTGACTTCCCTTGAATGGTAAGACTTTTTATTAACTGATAATATTAATAATAACAGCTGCATTTTATTTTTCCCATTTTGTATCAAGCACTATGCTAGGGGCTTTGTCATCATGTCCTCAAATCCTCTCTGAAACCCTAGGCAAAAGGTATGACTATCCCCATTGTGGTAAAAAAAAAAAAAAAAAAAAGAGAGATACATGGAACAAAACAGCCAAATGAAATCATTTATTCCAACAAGATCATTCAAATACTGAGTATCAAAGACATCATTAAAGTCCAAATGTTTTCACTCCTCCTGGTTCTCTTCCAATATGCTATATTTTTGCCTAAAGATATATTTTTCTTTTTTCCCGTCAGAAATGCATACAGATAATGGAAAATATGTTTGGATAGTTGGCCAGAAATAGGACTGCCAGAGTTTCCTCCCATCACTGTACATGCAGACAGTGCTTCCAATGAACGGCGAGAGTCTATTTCCGTTCCCCTGGGGCTGGCCTTGTCACCTGCCCTGAACAATGAACTGTGGAGGAAGCAACCCTGGGCCAGTCTCCATCTAGCCCTTAAGTGGCCTGGAATCCTCTTCATTTTCTCTCTGAGGAACTCAGCTATCATGTAAGAAGTCTGACCACCCAACTGGAGACAGAAGCCCAGCTGTCGCTCATCTGGTGCAGCCACTCCAACCAAGGGGTCAGACACAGATGAGTGAAGCCATCTTGGCTGCTCCATCCTCAGCTGAGATCTCAGCTGAAGGTAGTGCATAAATGTCCCCAGCCTAGGCTGGCTAACTCAAAACATTATAAAAGAATAAGCCATTGTTAAAAGTCACAAGTTTTGGAGTGCTTCATAATGCAGCGGTCTCTAACCAAAAATAGTATAATTGGAAAATTCACCTTGAAGAAGAAATACAAATTCTGCACATCCCTCACCTGGGGCACAATCTCATTGTAAATTATTGCTGGCCACTGTGTTAATATTCTGTTCTAAACAGTGTGCTACTGTAAAGCTCAAGGCATACCAACTTCATCATAATTATTCTTCTGTTAAACTATACTAGAAAAGAAAATAGTTTTTTTTTTATTTTCTTTGTCTCTGTGCAGCACTATCTCAAGCCCTTCTCTTCCCCCATTACTCGCTGGGCTCTGCCAACCACTGAGCATCCTGCAGCCCTCTGGTCCTCACAGCTGGCGCCTGCCAGCTCCAAAAGATGGCTCATCCGGTGACAGGACCCAAGCTCCTGTTGTCCACAGTCACAAGGAAGAAGCAGAGTCCTTGACGGGAGCCTGGGCATGGCTTTCATCAGGTTGGCTGTGGTGTTATTTCTGCTTCACTTCTAGGTCTCCTCTCCGAGGCTTTTACCTTGACCCTGAGAGCAGGTTCCTCAAACCCCTGATGACATGACCACAGGTAGGACTAACTGGCTACTTACCTTGTGCTGGTTCTTGTTCTGACATATGTATATTTAGAACCTCTGTGAAATAGAAAGTGTCCTTTTTATTTATAATTTCTAAGACAAATATCTATGAAGAATGCATTTTTATCCTCATATTTCAGGAAACTAAAGTTCAAGCTGCTCATGTTATTATCCAATGTACACATATGGACACTGGTTCACGCAGGGCAGGGTCCAAATCCCCTGCTCTCTCTGTGGACATCAGGGACCTTCTTCTGTTGGAAGGTAGGGTGGGGAAGGGGTGAAGCACAGGATGATAGGAAAGGAGGGAACTACTGGATTCTTAAATCACTCTGGATCTACACTGGACCTAGAAGAATGGGTGGCCTACTTATCAGATGCCTGATTCCTTCCCAGGAGAGAGGGGTGGAGGGAAAGAGGAGGAACACCTTGGAAATACGGCAACTTGACTGTTATTTAATGCTTCACTCTGCTCAGAGGCAAGGGAGAAGCCAGTGGCCATCAGTGTCTTTCCTTTTGTAGATCACAGACTTGAGTTATCCTATTGCTCTGAAACCACAGGCCTCTTCTCATGTTCTATCATGTGGCCTGGGGAACCAGGTCCCCCTCCAGATGTCTTCCATGGTAAATTTAAGCAGACCACCACATCTACTTTCCTGACTTGTGGGTATTCAATTGCATGTGATTCCTCTCACCATAACACGTTGCAAATTCCAAGTGAATTATATGAAGTGTAGCTATGACCAGTACTCTTAGCTCTACTGAACTGGATTTCTACAACATTCTTGGCTACTCGTACTTTATAATTAAACAGATTTTGCACAGCTCTGTCTGTTTACTTTAATGCTCCCTACCCTCTACCCTACTCTTTAAGTCTTTCTACTTTTTTTTTTTTTTTTTTTTTTTTGGAGCTCCACTCTGTCACCCAGGCTGGAGTGGAGTGCAGTGCAGTGGCACAATCTTGGCTCACTGCCACCTCCACCTCCCAGGTTTAAGTGATTCTCCTGCCTCAGCCTCCTGGGTACTGAGATTGCAGGCGCCCGCCACCATGCCTGGCTAATTTTTTTGTATTTTTAGTATAGGCAGGGTTTCACCTTGTTGACCAGGCTGGTCTCAAACTCCTGACCTCAGGTGATCTGCCCACCTTGGCCTCCCAAAGTGCTGGGATTATAGGCATGAGCCACTGCACTCAGCCTCTCCTTCTTCTTAAGGTCTAGCTAGTCTACACAGTCCTCCCAAATTTACTAATGCAAACTCCTAATAGCTCTACTAGTTAATATTATGTCTGTCTTTATTTCTGGCATGGTAAGTTCTCTTTTTCTGACTCAACACTCTGTGATAGACTACCTGCTCAGAGCCCTGGTTACCCACTTTGTACTCCAGCCTTCTCAAGATCAGGATCTGAGTTGTCCTTGGCAATCCTTCTCCTCAAGCTGGGAGCACTGCTCTTGGACCCCTCAAGGTGTATGAAAAGTGCCACCGACACCGCCTACTCACTCAGTCCTCTGTACCTAGTTGATTCCCAGGTTCCCTTTAACAGGCTTCTCTACCCACTTGCTGGATGTCATTTCCTACCAGCGTCCTCCCTGACTTGACTTTAACCAACCCTCCACAGCCAGTTTATCTCCAAATACTGGCTGTTCCTGGGAAAGTGTATTTTTCTTAAGCCAGGTTCCCCTTGCCACAATGTACACATATGGCCACCTCCAACTGTTGGTTTCCATTTCCAAAATTCGCCATCCAACATTCACCACAGATTGACTGAGTATGTCTACATGCCTTGCACTCTGCTGTGCCCTGGCGAGCAGTGACAAAGGGAGGTTCGCCATTGGGGGCAAGTGCCCCATTGCCATTCTTCTGCTCACCTGTCTGCCCAGCGATGGAGGCACTCAGTCTGTGGGGGATCCTTGAAGACACCTTCAAGGTCACTCGGATCTGGTAATACCTAAGAAAAGAGAAGAGGACAGGGTGCTGAAGATCAGCCTTCTTAACGTTGACTTCTAAAAATACCTAGAATTAATCCTGAAAGCCATAGGAAATCAGGGAAGTTTCTTGGCAGCATGCACAATCATCTGGCATCAATGAGAAATGCATTTTATCAGCAGAGTTGGAGAGGGAAGTGACGGGGCAGTGTTGGAGATTGGAAGTTGAGTTCACTTGAGATCACACAAGACTGAACAAGGTTGGAGGTGATGGGAATAGAGAAAAGAAAGAGATGGGTCATGTGACACAGTTTCATTAAGAGGTGTGGGTTTTATTTAGTCAAGAAAGGTTATTGTTATAGGAAAGTAGGTTATTTACGCACAGTGGAGAATCCATCTATAAATTGAGTTTCTATCATATTGCAACACAAAAACCACTTCCTTTAGTAACACAGCCACTGAGTTATTCTTGGAAGTGTTGCCAAATGCACTTTTCCCTGTGTATTTCACCTTCCTTAATTTTAACATAGCACTCCCATTTTCAAATTCCACCATTTCAGGACAATGTGCAGGTTCTCCTGATGTCAGTTAACTCTCTAATGTGCCCTCTTTTGCCCCAAGTACAGAAGCATCTTTTGAAGTTCTGTGCTTTGCAATTAATGACTTTTTGCTTGTAAGCATTTGAGGACATTTCTGGCATCATCATTGTTCTCTTCTTTTACTGATTTGAAACCCATTGTGAAATGGAATGTGAATAAACCAAAGTGAAATATAAGGAAAATGGACCATGAACACATCAGTCTCCTGTGGCTCATTGAGCTCATAGCTGGGCGAGCACCCTGCTATTGACATCCTTGCACTGCACATACACTCGTAGAATGTTTCTGCTGGCAGTCTCTTGCTTGTTTTTAATGTATAAATGATGAACAAAAATGAAGAGAAAAGGGCACTGGCGCTGGATTCATAGCTGCAGCATGAGTGACACATTTCCAGCTGTGTGACTTTAAGTACATCACATAACTTCTCTGAACTTGTTCCTGTATCTGTAAAATGAATATATATATATTGAGATGGCATCTTGCTGTGTCTCCCAGGCAGGCATATAGTGGTATGATCTCAGCTAACTACAACATCTGCCTCCTGGGTTCAAGCAATTCTTCTGCCTCAGCCTCCCACGTAGCTGGGACTAGAGGCACGCACCACCACGCCTGGCTAATTTTTGTATTTTTAGTAGAGACGGGGTTTCACCATGTTGGTCAGTCTGGTCTTGAACTCCTGACCTCATGATCCACCTGCCTCAGCCTCCCAAAGTGCTGGGATTACAGACATAAGCCACCATGCCCGGCCAAAATGAGTATTTTTCAAAAGTACCTGCTATGACTTCTGTTTCCAGAAAGATGAAGTGACAGACATACTTTACCCTATTTTTCTCACTAAGCACAACAAAAGCTCTAACTGTATACAGAAAACAAGCAAATGAAGATGCTTCAAGGTAGAGAGGAAAGCAGACAGGTTAGGAACCTCAGGACCCAAGGAGAGACATGCTGGTGAGGCTTCTGCATTTCCTGTTTCCTCATATATCCCAGACTGGATACTGGAGAAGCCAAGAAGCCAGAAAAGCTAATAGCCACCAACAAGAAAATTATACAAAAAAAAGCCCTCTCCCTCCAGCCGAAGGATCAGGAAGAGAACAGCCTAGCAAGACAGAAAACTTTTAGGCAACAGCTGTCTACTCCAGTCAAGAAACAGAAAACACTGTGGGCCCACCTCCACCCACACCAGCAAAGGCAAAGTGGGAAGTCTAGACAGCCGCCATCCCCAGACTGCATGAAAACACTGCATCCCCACCCAACCTGCCAAGAGAAGGACTTCAGCAGGGAGCCAGGCTTCCATCCCTAACAGATGGCAAAGAGAACCCCACCTGTTCAGTTGAAGTGGAGACCATGTGGGGAGCCTGGACCTCCACCCACCACCCCGCAGTAATGAGGGCATACATATGCCCATGTGATTTTCACAAAGGTGCAAAAGCAATTCAATGGAGCAGAGATCGCCTTTTAAAATAAGTTGTCCTGAAGCAATTGGCTATCCATAGACAAAATAACAGCCACTACCAACAAACAAACCTCAACTTTAATTTCATATCTTATAAAGAAACTATTAATAACTCAAACTAGATTGTGGACTTAAATGAAAAATATAAAACTATTAGGAAACAGAGAAAAGTTTTAAAATTATTCATTTTTTCTTTCTTTGAGACAGAGTCTCACTCTGTCACCCAGGCTGGAGTGCAGTGGTGCGATCTCGGCTCACTGCAACTTCCGTCTCCCGGGTTCAAGTGATTCTCCTGCCTCAGCCTCCCAAGTAGCTGGGATCACAGGTACCCACCACCATTCCCAGCTAATTTTTTTATTTTTAGTAGCAACTGCGTTTCACCATGTAGGCCAGGCTGGTCTCGAACTCCTGACCTCAGGCAATCCACCTGCCTTGGCCTCCCAAAGTGCTGGGATTACAGGCGTGAGCCACCGTGCCTGGCCTAAAACATATTCTAAACACAGAATTAAGCAAAGAGTTTTTAGACTTGGTACAGAGAACATGAACCATAAAAGAAAAACATAATAAATTTTGTTTGTTTGTTTGCTTGTTTGTTTATTTTGAGAGATGAGGTCTTGCTATGTCGCCCAGGCTGGCATCAAACTCCTGGTCTCAAGTGATCCTCCCACTTCGGCTCCCCAAAGTGCTGGGATTACAGGTGTGAGGCACTGTACCCCGCAGATAAATTTTAGTTCATTAAAACTAAACACTTTTGTGCTATGAAAGACACTGTTAAGATACAAGCTACAATGTGGGAAAAAATAGTTGCAAATCACATGCAGTGGACCTCAGTATCTGTGTATTCTGTATTTGGGAATTTGTTTACTCAAAAAAATTTGTTTTAGCCCCAAATGCAACACTCACAGCACCTTTGTGGTCATTCACAGACATGAACACAGTGGTAAAAAGTTTGAATCTTCTGACACTCGGGTGCCCAACTGAGGTTAAGCAATACTAAAAACAAGTATCCCTTTTGCAATTTATTTAGTCTCACATATTTGTGTACTCTTTGCTTTTTGTTGGTGTTCCACTGTTTGAGATGGACCCCAGGCATAGTACTAAAGGGCTGTCTAGTGTTCCTAAGGGCAGGAATGCTGTGATGTGCCCCATGGAGAAAGGATGTGTGTTAGATGAGCTTCACTCAGCTATGAGTTACAGTGCTGCTGACTGAGATCAATGGTAATGAATCAACAGTACATATTAAGTGTGGGGTATCTTTAAACAGAAACACATAAAACAAGATTATTTATTGATCAGTTTGGCAGAAATGTGACCAGAGGCTCACAGGAACCTAACCCTCTATTTCCCCCAGGAACAGTGGTTCAGCATTTGTTAATTCAGTGTTCACGGTGACTTTACAGAACATACTACTGTAAATATTGAGAATTGACTATCTGACAAAGGACTATTATCTAGGATATATAAAGAACTCTTGGAACTCAGTAGTAAAAACAAACACACCAATTAAAAAGTGGGCAAACGCAAGAAAAATTTCACCAAAGGGGACACACAGAGGGCAAACAAGCTCATGAAAAGATGCTCAAATGTTCATACACAAAAAGCAAAACAGAGTATCAATGCAGTCTCTATTAAAATGCCAGGTCAGGAGTGGTGGCTCATGCCTGTAATCCCAGCACTTTCGGAGGCCGAGGCTGGAGAATTGCTTGAGCCCAGGCTAGGCAATATATGGAGACCCCATCCCTACAATAAATAAATAAATAAATAAATAAATAAATTAGCTGGGTGTGGTGGCAGATGCCTGTAGTCTGTAGTCTCAGTTACTTGAAGGGCTGAGGTGGGAAAATCACTTGAGAACAGGAGGTTGAAGAGGAAGTGAGCTGAAATCACAACACTGCACTCCAGCCTGGTTGTCAGGCGGAGACCTTACCTCAAAAAAAAAAAAAAAAAAAAAAATTCGAAGGGCATTTTTTATACAAATAGAGAAAATAGTTCTAAAATATGTATGGAACCACAAAAGATATTAAACAGCTATAATACAATCTTGAGAAAAAAGAAAAATGAACAAGGTAAAATGGCCACTTACAATCAAAAGAAAATATTTGCAAACAATATGTCTGATAAGGGATTAGTATTCAAAATGTATAAGAAAATCATGCAACTCAATAGCAGTAATAATAATAATAATAATCCAATTTAAAAGGACAAAGGACCTGAATACACATTTTTCCAAAGAAAACATTCAAATTACCAACACGTTTGTGAAAAAGTACTCAATGTTACTAATCACCAGGGAAACACAAATCAAAACCACAACAACATGTCACCTCATACATTTTAGGACAGTTATCATGACAAAGACAAGAAATAACCAGTGTTGATGAGAATGTGGAGAAAAGAAAACCCTTGTATTCTTTTCTGATAAGAATGTAAATTGGTATAGCCATTATGAAAAATAACATGGAGGTTACTCAAAAAAGTAAAAATAAAATTGCCATATGACCCAGAAACCCCCTCTGCTCATGTATACCAACAGGACGTCAAAGTCAGCACCTCATGGAGAGATCTGCACCTCCACCTTCATTGCGGCATTAGTCACAATAGCCCAGATACAGAAACAACATAAGTGCCCAGCAATGAATCAATGAATAAACTGTGGAATACATATCAATGTACACACACACACACATACACATGCACTCAAACAATGGAATGTTATTCAGCCTTTAAAAAAAAAAGAAGATACTTCCATTATCAACAACATGGATGAAACTGAAGAACATTATGCTTAAGTGAAATAAGCCAGATACAGAAAAAAAAATACATGATCTCACTTACATGTAGAACATTTTTAAAAAAGGAAGTCAAACACGCAGAAAGAGAGAATAGGATGATAGTTACCGGGAACGGAGAAGGGAAAGAAAGAAGAAATGGGGAAATGTAGGTCAAAGAGTATAAACTTGCAGATATATAGTATAAATAAGTTTAGAGATCTAATGTACAGCCGGAGGATTATAGTTAATAATATTGTATTATATACTGAAATTTGCTAAGAGAACAGATTTTAGATGTACTTACCACAGAAAAATTTAAAATAAAAAAAGAATGCCACTTTGGAAGACAGTAGATGTGCTACTCTGCTCACATATAATGATCATTTCACTGTATATTTGTTTATCAAAACATCATGTTGTATACTTTAAATACATACAATAAAATAAATGTTTAAAAAAGATATTCAACATCATCAGACAAAATACTAATTAAAACCACAATGAGGCCGGGCGCGGTGGCTCACGCCTGTAATCCCAGCACTTTGGGAGGCCGAGGCGGGCGGATCACGAGGTCAGGAGATCGAGACCATGGTGAAACCCCGTCTCTACTAAAAATACAAAAAATTAGCCAGGCGCAGTGGCGGGCGCCTGTAGTCCCAGCTACTCGGGAGGCTGAGGCGGGAGAATGGCGTGAACCCGGAAGGCGGAGCTTGCAGTGAGCGGAGATCGCGCCACAGCACTCCCGCCTGGGCGACAGAACGAGACTCCGTCTCAAAAAACAAAAAACAAAAAACAAAAAAAACCACAATGAGATGCTACAATTCACTCATCAAAATGACTAAAATAAAAAACATTGACAACACCAGATACTGGCAATTATGCAGGCAAAGTGGATCACTCACACATTGCTGGTGGAAATGTAAAATGGAACAGCCACTCTGGAAAACGTTAGCTAGCTTCTTTAAAAATTAAACATACGGCCGGGCGTGGTGGCTCACGCCTGTAATCCCACCACTTTGGGAGGCCAAGGCAGGTAGATCACGAGATCAGGAGATGGAGACCATCCTGGCTAACACGGTGAAACCCCGTCTCTACTAAAAATAGAAAAAGTAAGCCGGGCGTGGTGGTGGGCGCCTGTAGTCCCAGCTACTCAGGAGGCTGAGGCAGGAGAATGGCGTGAACCTGGGAGGCGGAGCTTGCAGTGAGCCGTGACCGCACCACTGCACTCTAGCCTGGGGGACAGAGCAAGACTCCATCTCAAAAAAAAAAAAAAATTAAACATACAACTGTCAAACAACCCAACAATTGCCCTCCTAGGCATTTCTCTTAGAGAAATAAAAACTTACTTATGCAAGAACTTGTTCAAAATGTTTAGAGAAGCTTTATCCACAATACTAAAAACTGAAACAACCCAGATGTCCTTTAGTAAATGAATAAACTGTGGAAACTACTCCTCAATAAATAAGAATGAACAACTCATACACAGAACAATCTGGATGGATCTCCACACAGTTGTGCTCAGCAAAATAAGCTAATTTGAAAAAGGTGTATATTTCCATTTACATGGCAAGTTTAAAGTTGCAAAATTATGAAAATATAATACAGATTAGTGGCTGCCAGGGGTTGGGGAGTGGATGGGAGAGAGAGGCAAGCGGGTGTGGCTATCAAAGAGCAACATAAAATGTGAGATCCACGTGGTGATGAAAATAATTTGTATCCTGACTGTCCATATCAATATCCTGACTGTGAAATTGTACCATAGCATTACAAGATACTACCATTAAGGAAACTAGATAAACATTATATGAGATGTCTCTGTACTACTTCTTAAAACTGCATGTGATTCTACAACTAACTCAAAATAAAGCATTTAATTGAAAAACATAAAAGGCATCTGTCCTGTTCAACAGGAAAATCACAGTGACTGGATCTATTGGAAAGGATAAGGCTCCATACCAACTGGAGAAAACGCAAACGCCTACAGGGGCCAGGCAAATTACAAAAATGAAATTGTAAGAAAACCTTAGGTTCCACCAAATCTATCTTTTTATTTTCTGCTTTCGATGGATATACGGGACAAGAAACAATAACCTACCATCAGAAAATCCCAGTGGAAGCACATTTACAAATGACCATGACATGTGCCTCTGTGTGAGGGCAGCAGTGGCCGCCTTGGCCACAGGAGCAGCTGCTACTTAGCAGTGGCTTATTACGACCCCGCAGAAACATTGACTGCGTGTTGCTAGATCTTTCAGTTTTTCAGGGGAAGACAGAAATTTAATTTTGTAATAAAACATCTTTAAAATGCTAAATATTTGTTCACAAATCAATGGCAATGACAACAGCAACATCAGCAATAGTAAAAACAATTAGCAGCGGCAGCCATGGCCACAACGTTAGCAATAAAGCACTGTGTCAACAAGATAAAACACATTTGCAGACTCAATCCTCATGGGCCAATAATTGGCAAACCCTGATTGACACAAATACAAGATGTTACTTTTAGTATTTCTTTAATAAAAGATCTATGTATTTCAGTAATTTCATGAAGAAGGAAAGGGACATGAATCCCATCAGCACCGCCACCAACTGTCACATTGTAAGGGTGCCTTCTCTGAACATATTAATACAATGAGTCAGTCATTGCCAGGGGCTATGCATCCCTCTCCCATCCCACTGCACTTGAAGTGGTTACAGCTATGCTCAAGATTTATTAAGCATTTATGTGGCAGGACCTGTACTAGCAACTTCCATATATGCAATCTTGGTTGATCCCCCACAAATCCTATGTGAAAGCAAGTAGCAGCTCAAGGGTAAATGAAGGAAGGCATTGAGCCATTGGAAAGATCTAACCAGTTATCCGAAGCCACAGAGTTGGCAAAGGGCAACCAGGATTCTAACTCCAGAGATGGGTGTTTCCTTTTCCCTGATACCCCTCATAGGAAGCACATTTTGTTGTATAGCTACGTCTCTTTTATGGCTGATTCCAAAGTGCTTTTGAATTGTTTCTTAAAAGCCCTTGATGCTACTGAATCTTACTTCAAGAACTTAATTATATTGAACTTCAGATACTTTATAGGAATAGGGTGAAAGTTTACATTTCAATTAGGTTGACCCATTCAGGTTCTGTCCTGATTAAACAGAATGCTAAAACTGCTTTAGTAATTTCCTTTTATCTCATGGGAAATTTCTACCAAGTCATAAATCCACAAACCACATATTCATATATGATGTGCAAGATACTGTTTGATCCCCATAGGATGTCTTTAATGTACTTACTATGATTTCTGTCTTAAAGATGGGAAAATTAACATTTAGTGATAAAGATTTGTGCAAGTTCACAGACTCAGTAAGTAAATCTACAAGTTTTTTTTTTTTGTTGTTGTTGTTTGTTTGTTTGTTTTGAGACAGAGTCTTGCTCTGTCACCCAGGCTGGAGTGCAGTGGCGCAATCTTGGCTCACTGCAACCTCTGCCTCCCAGGTTCAAGCAATTCTCCTGCCTCAGCCTCCCAACTAGCTGGGATTACAGGAGCAGGCTACCACACTCAGCTAATTTTTGTATTTTTAGTAGAGACGGGGTTTCACCATGTTGGCCAGACTGGTCTTGAACTCCTGACCTCAGGTGATCTCCCTGCCTTGGCCTCCCAAAGTGCTAGGATTACAGGCGAGAGCCACTGGCCCGGCCTCCAAGTATCTTTTAACCATCTTAGAGCCATCTCCTACTACCTGGGGTCAAGTAAGTTATCATAAAGAAAGGAGCAGTTTGCTTAAATTGTTGGAGAATTATCAAATGGCAAAATAAGATGGGCCATTGGTTTCATCAGAATGGGGAAAGAAGCTAGGATGTGGAAAACTTCAGGCAGTATGCTGTTGTGTTTCAGTAGCCTAGATTTGCACAGAACTCCTTCTGGGATATAGTAACAAAAATAGTCATCCTTTATTGATTTCCCTCTGTATGACTGGCACTAAACTATGCCCTTTACATAATTTGGTAGGCATAATAATACCCCCCAACCCCTGACATACACCTCCTAATGTTCAGAACCTGTAAATATGTTGGGCAAAACAGAATTAAGGTTGCAGATGAAATTAAAGCTGTTAATCAGCTGGCCTTGAAATTTGGAGATTATTCTAAACTTCATGGGTATACTCAATGCAATCACAAGAGTCTTTTCCTTATAAGAGAAAGAAGGAGGCAAGAGACAGAGAGAGAGGGACAGAGTAGTGCAATGTGAGAAAGACGTGACCAGCCATTGCTGATCACCAGCCAAGGGATGCAGGCAGCCTCTATAAACTGGAAAAGATAAAGAAACAGACTCTTCTACTGCATGGAGACTCCTCTAGCGCCTCCACGCAGTAATACAATCCAGCAGGAATACTGACTTTAGCCCACATTTCAGAATTCTAACCTGCAGAATTCTAAGATAATAATGTTATGTTGTTTTAAGCCACTTAGGTTATGGCAATATATTATAGCAGTAATTGTAAACTAATGAATACAGGCTTTCAAATTTCCTCCTCATGACAAAACCAACAGATGGGAATAAATATCCTCACGTTAACAACACACAAATTGTGACTCAGAGAAGTTAGGTAATTTGCCCACAGTCACATAGCTAGTCAATGGATAGTTTAGGGATTAAAATGCAGGGCCATTTGGCTAGCACCAAGCTTATTTTAGGGAAGGCAAAGCCAGGTGCTTTAACGTTATAAGCCCACCTCAATTTCCTCATCACTCTTATCACAGGGGCCCAGCTGGATTCTCGCTCTGATCACTAATTTTCTAATATCGTCTCTCGTTTCATGTATTTCATTGTTTTCTCAAAAGCACCTTGAGAACAAGAATGCTACTATTTACTTCTTTTGTATTCCTTAGAGGTCTCACAGCTGTGCCAGAGAGAGAAAAGCAACTAATGAACATCTGTTCTCAGTTGATTAGAGAAATATCCATTACCACCAGCCACTGAAGGAGACAAGCCATGCACCATTCATCTCTGTATCCCCAGAAACTAAAAGAGGACTGATGTGGTTGGCATTCAATAAATGCCAGGTGAAGGAATGAATAAGTGAAAATTCTAAAAATAAAGATTTCCCCAAACAATGGTGTTCTACAATTCAATCCTACTATACAATTCTGTGAGTGATAAAGAATCCACATGCAACTTTTGTAAAATGAGGAGTAATATTCTATAATGGGAATACAGAAATCTGTGACATTTTGTCAAAATCATTTTTCATAGCAGTATAGCATGAAACAACCGCTCTGACTCAGGGACATCTGACATGACCTAAAATACAAATCATTATTATGAAAAGTCAAACACAGACACTCTGGAGTCTGAACACCCAGGTCCGCAAAGCAAGGTTGGAAAACTTAACGCTAGTAACTTTCCCTCCCTGAGCCTCTCTTTCCTCATGGGCGAGGAAAGCCATACTGGTACCAGCCTTGCAGAATTATTGTGAGGCAGGAACAGGAGCATCCATGGCAAGCATGGGCATGGCATGATGCTCAACCCCATATTTCATTAAAGATATAATGTCTTCATTGCTATTCCCTAAGACATGTGTGAGACACAGCCTCCCACTTCCATGATCCCAGTCTATCCTCTGGCATCACAGCTGGGATGAAGCTGGGAGAAGGCATGATGCTTTTGGTGGGACACGTTTCAGGGATGCCTGCGGGATACAGTATATGATTATACCAAACAGCACACTCAAGATGTAAATGGTAGGCTATGATATGGGTGTGCCCACACGTCTGGGCGAAAATTATCTTTGAGACTTGTGAAGCAATATAGCATTTTGATTAAGAGGGTAAGCTCTGAAAATCTGCCTGCCTCTGACTGTGTGACCTTGAATAAATCACTGTCACAGTGTCCCTGTGCTCAAGGTCCTCAGGTATAAATGGGGATAGTAATGACAGTAATTTTCCTCATAGTGCCATTATAAGGATTAAATGATTTGTAATATGCAAAGTGCTTATAATGCCTGGCAAGTATTGAGTCTAAATGAGTGCTTTTAATAATAGGTATAATAAAAACAATGATGATGAAGATGGCTTTATGAAGGCACCTTGGGCACCCAGCATCACACTTGTCACATGATAATGGAATGACTCCCCTCTTTCTGTCTGTTCACCCAAGTGTCGAGGTCCCTGTGAAGAGGAGTGAAGTGTCCTTGCTTGCACCTCAGGAATTACAAGAGAGCTGCACATGCTGTGACTGCCAGCAAAGGTCACTGGAAAGTGTGAGCATGACTCTCTCAAAACCGGTCTTGTCTACATGAGCTTCAGGAGGGAACCACGGAAGGAACAATGGAGACAGGCAGACATAGACTCAAATTCCCAAGGATTCAAAACTTGCAGAGGCTCAGTTCCCTTATGTTTAAAGTATACACTGTGATATGAATGTGCAGGGGAACTTTATTTTTAAATGATAGTGAAAACATTGCATATGGCAGGGACTCTGTAAATGGTAGCCATGATCACAGCTTCCCATAAAGCATGTACACATTTCTATAAGCAGTGTTAGTGGAGACTCAAAACAGCTCCTCTGCCCCACACCTGACAAGTGTGGTGCCTACTTAAGGGCAAGTTGGCAGAGGATCAGGATATGAGCTAAGCTTCCTCTGGTCTGGCTAGGGGAGGAGACCCTCTCCTGTGCTATATTGTTCCCCAAAAGGCTGAGTCAATTTAGAGTCAAAAGTAACTCCAGATTGCTTGATACTGTAGGTTTTTCCAGTGAGTTCTGAAAAGCCCGATTAAATACTGGCAGTCCTGTCCTCGGTCTTGTCCTAAGAGTGGGACACCATGACAGAATCAGCAATAATGCAATCAGTGGCTTTCTCTCCTTTAAAAAAGCTAATGCCCCATAATCTAATGATAGTCAGCTATGGGGAAATTGCACGAGGATTTATAAATAACTAGAGAGGTGAAATATTTTCTTATATGGCCAGGTATGATAAACATAACCTGCCCTACCTCCATCTTTATGAAGAACTGCCATTTGCCTAGACCTCACCTAATGAGCTGTCACACTGCTCTTCCCAGTCTCTTTGCCAGCAGGACACCTGGCACCATCTGGAATCCCAGCCTCACATAGCTAGCCCCCACCTGACAAGGGAAGACACTGTGATGCGGAGGTGAAACTCCGCCCTAGCAGGAAGGCCTGCAAAGTCCTGCCAATAAAAGAGGCCTTGGTGTTCCAAAAGATAAGAAACAAAAAACCTATGAAATGACTAATATATTTTTACTACACAGTATGCACTCATAGGTTGACAGTATGCGCCCACCACTGTAGGACTATGAACCATTCTGTTGCATTTTATTGGCCTCAATGGCAATTACTGACATACTTTTCCAAGGAAAGTCCACTCCAATATTTCAGCAGAACTTGTCTGGATACTTTGATATAATCACAATATAATAATTCATTCAGATTCCACCAATGTTTACTGTGATGATCCTCTGCATTTCTCTACCCGCATTCTCCTTATTGACCCAGAAGGTTCTATGTGGCTCATGCTGAATTTCCTGCTCACTATCCCTAAACTTCTCTTTCCTTACAAAGCAAAGCCAGGTTTTCTCAGGGGAATTACTATACCTACCTAAAAATACCCACCCTTTGCTGACTCCCTTGCAGCTAGGAGAAACCTCATGACCCCCTCTTGGCTAATGAAATAAAAGTGCACATTGGCAGGTAAAGCAGACAGGAAATGACCCTTGGGCTGTTTGTCTCATCTCTCAATTTGTGAATATATCCAAAAATATAATTGTGGTTGTTAAAGCAGGCTTTCTCCAGCCATGAGTATTAAAAAGCCATTTGCTAAGGATGGAAGAGCAGAAGGAGAAGTCTGAGTCCTTACTGTCCCTGGTGACATGGTTGTGCTGTCTACTTCTGTGTTTCTTGTGGTATCTTGTGCTAGTTAAGCACAGGGTAAGTTATATGCTTGATTATTTGAAGCCAAATACACTTCTTACTGTGGGATCTGATTGCAGGACCCTCCTGGGCCATACTTTGTGTAGGTGAAAATTCAGAAGAGTTGACACAGACAGTCTGACTTCTCTCACTGCCTTTTTTTTCTGAAAATGGAAAACTCAGCTTTGCCTTGCATAAGAGCCATTAAAAGGTAAGAATCTAGGTTGGACTTTTGTGTAGAAGTAAAGCAGATATTTTTTATATACCATAATTGAAGGTTCCTTAATGGAAAACAAAGGCTGTCTTCATGTGGCTGAACCTAACTCCTTGGTATTCTCCAACAGGGCTTGGGGCCAAAGCCACAGGTGACAGGAAAGCACTTCTTTCTTAATTCTCTGTGCACATATCTGTCCAGGAAACTTGAGGGTAGTAAGTGGTCAAAAGCGGAAACTGCAAATCCCCGTGTCCCAGCCAACTATAAACTAGTTGCATTTTCTGCCATTTTTCAATCCTTTGTGTCTAGCACTATGTGGCATCCACATTACGAGAGATCACATTTAATTCTGATGAAAATTCTATGAATTGTACATTGTCATTCCCATATACAGCTAAGGAAGTAAGGTTTTTCAAACTCCTGCAGTCACATGACTCCTAAGTCAGGTAAGAGATCTACGTAGTATTAGATAGCATTTATTCTTCAATTTCTTTTAAATAATTGAGGAATTCCTTAAAAGAAAGTAAACATTTCCAGCCAGACCACTCACCTCTAAAAAGTAGTAATGACAAAGGGTAAAGCCATTTGCCATTTTTGCAGAATCTTAAAAGTCCAAACAAAATTATTTCTTCTTGCCACAGGAAATGTTTAAAAATATCAAACCAGTGATTTCCCTCAATTACCAAAACCACAGAAACTCAGAATGGAAAGAATAATCAGCACCTATTACTTTGATACCTGACAGTGTTCCAACCACTATGCTCACCGCTCCTAGATCATCTCATGTAATCATCAAAACCATCCCTGTATGGTGGAAACAAATATTAATATCCTTTCAGAAAAACAAGGTAAGATTGAGAGAAGGTAAACTATTTTTCCAAGTTTCTGCAACTTGTAAATTGGAGAGCCTGAGACTCAAGCCCAAGAAATCTGATTTGTGAGTGTGTGCTCGTAACGACTATACAATACACCCTATCCTGACCGGGGGAAGAATTAATTAAAAGTCCTGGTTTTATCTACAGGAAGCTGAAAAGCAACTTACATGTAACTGCTTAGCTAATGCATACAAATTCTCTTTGCATTAAGTACTGTTCAATCATTTTACATAAAAGAAAATTCAAGGAAAAATGAACTTTCCCAGGATAAGTAGTAGAGTCAGGATTCAAACAACACAGTCTGATTTCAAAGCCCATATTCTTCTTTCTTTCTCATTTTAGACACTGTGTCTCCTCTGAGGGCTAGAGGATTCCCTAGAAATCATTAACCCCCTTAGATTAAAAAAAAATCAGAAAATTTAAGTTACATAACAAATATCAAAGCTATAAATGAAAACACTGAGTTGTAGGCACTTAATAAACATTTGTCCAATCAAATTGTGTTTAAATGGAGCCTCCGCAGAAGCCCAAAAATAGTTGCTGCATGCTGATTGTGCACGCCTTCAGGTGCTTTAACTTCACATTGGTATCTTGAAATTGGCCTTGGTGGGAGTATTTATAGCATGCAAATGGACAAACATCATAAATCTTTGTTTTGAAGAGCCAGTTTTTACACATCTATCAGCACCACTGCTCCACCTCCTTCCATCACCACCACCGCTCCATTCTGTTAACCAAAGGAAATCTGAAACCCAAACAGAGGAAGTAAATGGGCGATCTGGAAAGATTTCAAGAAAATTACTGTTGGGTTGGACTCAAACTGTTGAGCCTTCAGGAAATATATATATATTGCTCAAAGAATCCTCATTGAATAAAGCTAGCTAATTAAGCTCTTACAAGCTGCAGGGAAGAATGACCTCTATAAAATGTATGCCTTTTGTACATAAACTTGGAAGTCTGAACAGAATGGCTATAACTTCTCCCATTGCCTCCTCTTCTCGTTCATATTAAAACAAAACAAAGCAAGTGAACAGCATTGGCAACAACCCTAATGGTGCTTTTTGTGTCAACTTAAAGCAAACTAACTCTCTGAGCTTCAGTTTTCTCATTTGCAAATGAAGATTTCAGTTATCTTCTGGAGTTGATATAGAAATCAAAATCAATGTGTGTATAGCAAAACTGAGCTTTAACGAATGGTGGGTATTATTACTGCTATGGTTATCTTTGCATATCTACCCTAAATACATTCATCAGCAAATGTCTGTACTCCTAGAAGGAGACCCCTTAAGGAACTCAGACCAGCAACACAAGTAGCTTAGTTGGAGTGACTGTATATAAAAAAAATATGAGATTGCTGAGCTGCTGGGAAACTGAAAAGTGCTTCCCCATCCCTGCATCTCCCTTTGCTGCTTTTATTCATATGGGCTGATGGACCTGTTGTTCCTATCTAATGAGTCAGCCCAGATGGGGTTCTAGTTTGCATGAGTGGCCATGTGTCAATGTTGTGCTCAAAGAAGTTGCTGCTGCTGGTCTGTCATCCAGGGAGGTACCATTTGCAGGTAAAACGAAAGTTCCTTCTAGAGAGCCAATATGAAACATCATTACAAGATGTCAGATACAGTGGATGCACAACAGGTGTCAGTCCTCTTCCCTTTGGATTCAAGGGAGCATTTGATTTTCTTTGCATTTGTATGGGTTGATTAAATGAGCTTGGTTAAAGCAGGCCTTCAAGCGACTTGCACAGCTTGAAATGTCACGAGTAATTTAAAACCTCAGACCAGAAAATTTGTCGTGCAATATCACACTGTGACAGGAGTTTCTGCAGAGAGAATTTTTCTGATTGGCAAAACCAGAACCTGCAACCAGTTCCAAGCAGTCAGAAGGTGGGAGAAGAGTTGAAAAGCAAAACAACTCACAAGTCTTTCATGCAGAAGGATCAAAGGCATGAAGTGAAAACATATGATAGAATCCAGGTGCTCAGAAAGACCAGGTTTTAAATGCTGGATTTGCAGTTTACTAATGGTGCATGACTCCAAACAATTCATTTTACCTCTCTGAGCATTTGGTTTCTCATGTTAACATTTTTTATGGGGAAGAAATGAGATAAGACACGTACAACACCTGGTACAGTGTAGGAGACACAGTAAGCACCAAGTCCTTCTAAAACTGTAATTTAATTATTATTATAATTATGACATTCATATGTTGCTAATGGAAAGTAGACACAGAAAAGGGGAAGAAGTCTTCCAAAGATTTGCAAAGTCTGTGCTAGATCTCATGACTGCTAATGTTGGCCCATCATCCAATTCATTATACCCATATAATTGAACACAATTTAATTCTAGGATATATATTAATATGAAGTGATAAGAAAATACTTTCTACAAGTAGGCTGTTACCTGATTGTTCCTGTTACCTTATTGTTCCTTTCAGGTACTCTGTAAATATCAATAATAAGCAGAATATCAGAGTGAAAACAAAGGAAGCCACCAGTTCTTGCAAGTCAACCGTGTGTCAGGCAAGACTGTTGGTGATTTACATTCATTGTCACATTCTATCTGGACAATATTCAAAAAAGATTCTTTCAATATTCCTCCTCCAATATTCCTATGAGGAACCTGAAGTTCGGAACAAAAATTATCTTGCTCATAGACTGTAGCTTACAAGAAAAACTGGGATGCAAGGTCATGGTTATGAAACTCCAAAGACAAAAATATTCTCAAAATTTGTCAAGTCATACATAATGGCTACCCACTGAAATGTCACTTGGGTACATAAAATGACCCATAATAGCATGAAGAGTGCAAACATTCACAAGTCATGCCAGTAATCGTGATGGAAAAAGCCATTGCAAGCTTTGTGTCCACATCATTCAAATTCTTGCTGCTCAGCTATGCTCAACTGTAAATTGAACATTGCTGAGGACAAGGCACCAAAACAGTGGCTGAGAACACAAGAAGGAATGATGGACTAGTCCCTGACTTGGAGGAGCTTACAGTCTAACAGAGAACAAAACCAATTTCACAAATTATAATCGTAATCATAGGAAACCCCTCAGGACTTCCAAGGGGGTAAGAAAAAGAGTGAGGTTAGCTCAGAGTGGGAACAGATTGCCTTTAGTAGAAGACAGGAGTTGATTTAAGGAAGAAGCAAATTTAAAACTAAAAGTCCCTACAAGGTAGTAGAACATATGAGAGAGACTTCATATTGCAAGAAATAGCCAAGAGTACAAAGCCAATAAAAACAGCAAAATGGCTGGAGCAAAAATTGCTATCTTTGATGTCAGTAATTTTCATCAGGGCCTTATTATCATTCTTGTCTCGGGGAACAAGCCTAAAACTGCATTCAGTGTTTTTATATTCCTTGGAGAACCCCAGCATACTTCTTCAGTTTTAGAATGTAGGCCATGACCCAGAGATGATTGAGATGCTGGTAGACAGAGATGCCCTGTAAAGAAATTTTGTGCATGTTGCATATCTCTACACATGAGCTCACCTGACTTATTCAGGTTTCACCCATTTTACAACTCTAAATGAATGCTGATGAAGCTTACATGTCATTTTGGCTCACTCCTAAGAACAGGTAGGTCTTGACCAGGCTGGGGAAGCCGGGACAGCATTTAACCTATTTATGCCTGAGGTTGCAATTTTTTGAAATTTTGTGATCAGACCTTGGCGATGACCTTGAGCAGCAGGACATAAATAACTCCCACATGCTTAGCTTTCCAATAATGGAACACTAGGCATAAATGGCTAAGGTGGAGGAACAGCTTGGGGAAATGCGGGAGGGCAAGTCCTAGAGAGCATTGTAGGAACCCTGGGGAGTTGACCTTGGCCAGAGTATGGGATGGGTAACAAGGAAGTGCAAACAGACATTTCCTTCCCAACCATTTACTCTAATAAGTGTTACTATAAAAATAGATGGACCGAGCTACCTTTCACCAGAGGATATAAGTGTAGTGGTTAAGGGAATCAACTGTGAAATCAAACAGAGCTAGGTTTGAGTCATCACCTCCCAGCTTAGGAAAGTTACTTAACTTCTGTGAGCTACTATTCCCTCCTCTGTAACATGCAGATGATCAAAGATCCAATTCATAAGGTTGAGTGAGGGAGACATACAAAAGTTTGCCACAGCCCAGAGAAAGTCTTCAATAGTTATGAGACTATTTGATGCAAGGTGCATGTATATACTGTATGTACTCAGAAAATGCATGATGCCTAACTTATCCTTTTGGATGATGTCATGTTCTCCTCTGTTTCCTTTGGAAACAAACAAAACACCCACAAATAATATAGTACAAGTAACGGTTTATGCATGGGCTACAATGACAGGTAAAGTAGGCCACCGAAAACTCCATAAACAAACAGCCACATAGGTGATCGATTGAAAAGCAGACAGTGAGGGACAGAGATAAGTAGATGTTGGGTAGGTAAATAGGAGATACAGATGGATGGATGGGCAGATGGAAAGACAGGTAGAGAGAAATGGAGAGAGAGAGACGATAGAGGAACAAACACACTCACCAACTGTTTTGTCACAGAAAAGATCTCTGACCAATTTCCAGCTCCTTCCACCAGCATGTGTCTCTTTTGAGAATAAACCATCATAACCCTGAATCATGATTCCCTCTCTTGGCTCCCTGTGTCTCTTAATTGCTTTTTGATATGAAAACTCCCAGGTGTCTGAAGTCATTCTGGAGATTTCAAGGGATTTCATTATGTGTGTAGGAATTTCCATTTCCTCATCAATCAAATCTTTATTTCTGCAAAACTGTTCAGGCAGAACAACAACAAAAAAGTTCCCTTGGCTCCATTTGACTAGGAGATGTATTCTGTAATTACAATGGGGGAGTGTGTTTTAACCAAAAGATCACACATGCAGCAAATTGTCTTTGCAGAACTCCTCACTGGCTGAAGTGAGGAGCAGGTAGAGTGAGGATTCTGCGGTTAGACAGACATGGGGAAGCTGTAAACTCACCTCACAGCTTTGTTGTGAGGGTTCACGAAGCAGTAGGTGGGAGAACTCAGTCCCACATCTGGTAAGCTACTGCAACTTTGGTTATAGTTGTTAATATTAATTCAAACATTATTATAGCTCCAGAAAAAGCCCTGGGTTCCATGTAAGAAGATCTGGGTCAGGAAGTTTGATAGATGTCACTATATAAATATTAACGAATTGAATAGAAGGGAGAAGGGAGAGAGTCCCAATGTTTAAGAAAAGAATGCAGAGACTGCTTGATAAAGTTATGTTGAACAGAACATAAGAATGCTGGCTTGCATCTGGGCATGCTCTCAACCAGCTAGTTAGTGGCAAGCTGTCTGATGGGCTTGTTCTTGCCCAGTCTCTCCAGTCTCCCCTTCCCACCCCAACTCACTCCTCACTCATACCTTTTCCTGACGATAATGCCCAGGCGGCTGCTCTTATTTCTGAAGTAAAGCACTGGCTGCTTATTTTTACTATCAATTGCCTTTTCTTATATGTCTTCCTTAACCTGTAATCAAAGTGTCGTGAGTTCAAAGTTGTGGCTGCTGCTTTATGTGGTTCAGGGCAATGTCAGTCTCTGGTGGACAGAAAGCCACCATTTCCCTGGGCTTTCTTTGTCTTTGAGTACCGGGAAAAGCAAACACCCAAGTTCTGCAAGAACAGAGCCTAGAAAAGTCCAGACACCTCTGAATCCACAGGCACATGGCAGGCCCACAAAGAATACTCATCTCAGGATAACAATCTTGCTGAAACTTTTCTTGCTCAAAGGCACTGCCCTTTTCAAATAAAAATAGTACAACTGCTGGCTACCAAGCATGGAATCACTGCCCTGTGCTGCCGCCGAGTCCAGGAGGACACCTTATCTCTAGACTTCAGCAAACCCCCTAAGCATGCTCATCCTCAGATTATTAATGAAGGAAGTCAACTCACAGAGGTTAAGTGGCTTTTCCCTAAGCTGTGATACTGATAATTAGCCAAGCAGGATCCAAGGCAGCTCCAACCACTCTTACAACCCTGTGCTCTCATTACCTCCCCTCTGCACTTTTTCTGAGCAGGACTATATTTTGGAAGGTCCCACATTTCAGGCAATCAATGATCTCCAGAATAAGCTGTCGGCCACTCTCATATAAATGTACATTTTTTTTTTTTTTGAGATGGAGTTTCACTCTTGTTGCCCAGGCTGGAGTACAGTGGCATGATCTCAGCTCACTTCAATCTCCGCCTCCAGGGTTCAAGCGATTCTCCTGCCTCAGCCTCCCGAGTAGCTGGGATTACAGGCATGCACCACCGCACCCAGCTAATTTTGTATTTTTAGTAGAGATGGGGTTTCTCCATGTTGGTCAGGCTGATCTTGAACTCCCGACTTCAGGTGATCCACCTGCCTTGGCCTCCCAAAAATGCATTATTTTTAGTCCTGCCTCCCTGGCATGCCACATATGGTAGGTGCTAGGAAACAATTTCCAACTTAATGCAAAGTTCCAAAAACATGAAGTACTGACTAATGAATGGCTCCAATCACAGACACATTATTTGGAAAAGAAATATATTTGGGTGTGTATTTCGTCATCTGACTCAGGCATTCAAGTTGCTAATCAAAGGTCTTCGCAGCATTTTTATCAATAATGTGTAAACCCCAAATAGTTTCTTTTATGATACAAGGCTTCAAGGAATATAATGGCTCTTCTATTTTTAGGATGACAGAAAATAGATTAATTCCTTTTTAAAAACAGGTCTGAAAATAGTCATTATCCCAGATTATAGATGAGGAAAGAGGTCCAGAGAAGTTGACTGACTTCTCCAAGCCGTACAGTAAAACAGTGGTGAGGCTGGGTTTAAAACTAAGGTCTGTCAGACTCTTTGAGCCACAAAACCCTACACTACAGAAAGGTCTTCCAAAGATAAGCACAACACAGTCAACTCTTAGCAACCTCACCTGATGACTAATTAGTGGAGGACTGAAATAAAGTCTTTTCTCTGGGGTGAACAGTAGCATCCCCAAAGCCTGCATTTTGCTTGTTTGGTTAGTTTAGTTTCTACTTCTTTTATAACAGGCTAAATAAAGTTGGAGTAAAATAATCCAAATACATTTATCTAGGATTTGGAAAAGGATTCTGTGAGAACTCTTAGATGGGCCTGAGCATCTGGCCCTGTTGTGTCCATGATGGGCTGCTCTTCTGCGAATGGAGAGCCCCCAGGTGATATGGTCAAAAGGTCCCAGAACCACCCCTAACACCAATCCACATGTGACCTTAGGCAAGTCAGTTAATGTCTCCAGGACTCTCTGAGTAAATTCCCCAAATGAAAAGACTGAACTACTTATGTTATGAAACCCAGTGCTACATTCTTATTTGGTTTACATTCTTGTTTGGTTTGGGTTTACACCTGGATCATCTGGCTCTGAGTCCAAGGCTTAGGATAGTACATCCCCTGGAGACCAGAGGATACTTCATCTTCAGTCCAAGAGTAGTTCCTTTGGTCTTCAAGGAAAGGTCATGCTTGCATTGCATCAGGACCAGGTAAGGCTATGTGGACACCCGCTTCTTCATGAGCCAATTTCCATGGCCCATGATGATCTCTGCTTCCAGTTTTAGAAAGATGTTGCCACTCTTAGGAGATCACCGAGGGCTTTCTCTTGGGGAGGAAAAAATATTTGCGTTTGCTACAATACTGCAATTACTTTAATGGACACTGCACATAAATTATATCATTCAGCCCTCCCAGTCATACAATTAAGATGCCATATCCCAATTTTCAGAAGATGAACCTGAAATTCAAGGTAAAACAAAGTCACGTGTGGATTTAGTAGACCTGGGATTTGGACCTAGACCTGGTTGCAAAGATCACACTCTTCCTCACTACCCCTCCATCTCACCTCCATTCAAGCAAACGGGTGGATGATGAGGCTCCCCACTGTGACAGGTGAGGAGAAACCCGGTGAAAAGCAGGGGCGTGTGGTGCATTTAGGGGGAAGGAGAAGAGTGAACACGGAGTGCAGGAAACCCGGGCAGGATTTAGGGGCCTACGCAACTCTAAACCATTTTGACATGAGTCCTAACGCACCAGAGAAGAAATGAAAGTTGTTGAGTTACACCCAAACGAAACAGCTGGCGGCGCTTTCTCAACATCTGTGTGGTGCTTCTTCAGGGAGTTGGTGGAAGTGAGATGACCTCACATAAAGCAGGGTTGGGTGTTTTGTGCTGAGAGAGTGCTGACCAGGGTGCTGTCCTCCCCTAACAATCCTAACAGAGGACTACACAGCTGGGATTTGGAAAGCGCACACACACACACACACACACACACGCTTGTATTTTAGATTAACAGTCCTCCAACCAACCTTAAAATATTTGGGAAAAAAATCACATTTAGAATGTTATTAAATCAAAGGAGATTCTGGCTTAGTGACTTGTGAAGAGATAAAGGAACATCCAGTCAGGAACCTTCTGTGCTGTGTAGGGATTAGCCTCAAAACCAATTCATGCAACAAAGATCATCTCCACAGAGCCCTGCAACACTTGCCCTGGGACAACTAAACCTCGGACCCTGTTTGCTCAACACAGTGGCATCTGCCTTTTACTAGGCTCTGTCTCTGAGGTTGGGTCTTTCATCCTATTTTCTGATAGCATCTTGGTCACTTGCTTCCTACTCCCTAGGCATCTGCCTTTGTACCAGGTATGCTGTGTTGCTGGTGTGCAAATGCATCATGCCCTTCCACATTTCCACATCTTTGCACATGCCACTCCCCTAAAAGGCTCCCTCCCTGACCTCATGGGAAGCCTTCCCTGACGTCCAGCAGAATAGGCATTGCCCATCCTCTGTTGTCTAAGGGCCGGGGGCTCCCCACTGTTTTCTAAAGATAATACCACATCACCACTGCTTGATTTCCAGGCAGGTTTTCCTTAGCTAGACCTGAGCACTTTGACAGCAAGAGTCATATCATGCTCCTTCTTTCTGTCCAAAATCCCAGCACAGTGCCTAACATCCAGCAGTCCCTCAAGACATGAATTGAGAAAGGATTTATAAGATATTAATTAACAATTAATATCTGCTTAACCCAAGATCCTGATTCAGACTGTGAGCTCCTTGCTACGAGAACTGTTGCTTGACTGATAACTGCAGACTGTTCAACCTACTTATTTGAGGAATGAGTGCATGATCCATTTTAGTGGCCAGAATCTAACCACTGACCTCCTGATCCTGACCTCCATGTCTCTTTTATTTGAGGGGAGGGGGGAACGGAGGAGTCTCGCTCTGTCTCCCAGGCTGGAGTGCAGTGGCATGATCTTGGATCACTGCAACATCTGCCTCCCAGGTTCAAGTGATTCTTCTGCCTCAGCCTCCCGAGTAGCTGGGATTACATGCACACAACACTATGCCCAGATAATTTCTGTATTTTTAGTAGAGACGGGGTTTTGCCATGTTTGCCAGGCTGGTCTCAAACTCCTGACCTCAGGTGATCCACCCTCCTTGGCCTCCCAAAGTGCTGGGATTACAGGCATGAGACACCATGTCCGGCCCCATCTCTCTCTTATTGACCCACGACAGAAGGGTGGGGCTAGAATTGCTTGCTCTGGCAATACTTCTACATACCCACATCGCTCAGACTTTGGCCTACAGCAAGTGGCTGTAGAACCCCCTTAGCAAATATTCACTTATTCACTTGTTTTGTTTCTTTGTTTTCTTTTTTAAAAACTTTTATTTTAAGTTCAGGGTTACATGTGCAGGTTTGTTACACAGGAAAACTTGTATCATGGGGATTTGTCCCACAGATTATTTCATCACCATGGTATTAAGCCCAGTACCCATTAGTTATTTTTCCTGATATTCTTCCCACTCCCAACCTCTACCTTCCCATAGGGCCCAGTGTATCGTGTTCCCCTCTACGTGTCCACATATTCTCATCATCTAACTTCTACTTATAAGTGAGAACATGTGGTATTTGGTTTTCTATTCCTGCATTAGTTTGGTATGAATAATGGCCCCCAGCTCCATCCATGTCCCTGCAAAGAACATGATCTTGTTCTTTTTTATGGCTGCATAGTATTCTACGGTGTATATGAACCACATTTTCTTTATCCAATCTACCATTGATGGGCATTTAGGTTGATTCCATCTCTTTGCTATTGCGAATAGTGCTGCAGTGAACATACGCATACATGTGTCTTTACAACAGAACTACTCAATTGTTCATAAGCAATCAGAAAAAGGTAAAGGATTCAGTGTGTCCAGCAGAATCTTATTTTTGTTTAAAATGCTGACATCAATGCATTTATAATCCTTATGCATGCAGAAGAAAAGTCTACATTTTCTAAAACTTTGGTAATGATTCTGAGGAATACATTTTTTCTTATTCTGCATTTTCTAGTTTGTTTAAATGAGTATACTGTGATTTTTTGTTCAACAGCACAAATGTCTCAAATGTAATACAGATATCAGAAAGTGCCATGCCCAGCTCTAGACATGACCTACAGGGCAGGATTCTGAAAAGGAGTCTGTTCTTGGGAATCCCATGCCCATCGGAGAACTCGAGGGATTTTCAGAGTCCCACAGAGGTGAGAGGAAGAACCCGCTGCACTCAGTACTTAAAACGATTCCTCATTCTTCTCGCCCAGCACCCTCATCATCTTATTATTTTCTTTGTGTAAATTAAAAGAGTTGTGCAATATGGCATACGTAATTTTAAAACCCTAAATAGTCATACAAATTATCTACAAAGAAAATGGAAAACAAAAAAAGGCAGGGGTTGCAATCCTAGTCTCAGATAAAACAGACTTTAAACCAACAAAGATCAAAAGAGACAAAGAAGTCCATTACATAATGGTAAAGGGATCAATTCAACAAGAAGATCTAACTATCCTAAATATATATGCACCCAATACAGGAGCACCCAGATTCATAAAGCAAGTACTTAGAGACTACAAAGAGACTTAGGCTCCCAAACAATAATAATGGGAGACTTTAACACCCCACTGTCAACATTAGACAGTTCAACGAGACAGAAAGTTAACAAGGATATCCAGGAATTGAGCTCAGCTCTGCACCAAGCAGACCTAATAGACATCTACAGAACTCTCCACCCCAAATCAACAGAATATACACTCTTCTCAGCACCACACCACACTTATTCCAAAATTGACCACATAGTTGGAAGTAAAGCACTCCTCAGCAAATGTGAAAGAACAGAAATTATCACAAACTGTCTCTCAGACCACAGTGCAATCAAACTAGAACTCAGGATTAAGAAACTCACTCAAAACCGCTCAACTACATGGAAACTGAACAACCTGCTCCTGAATGACTACTGGGTACATAATGAAATGAAGGCAGAAATAAAGATGTTCTTTGAAACCCACGAGAACAAAGACACAACATACCAGAATCTCTGGGACACATTCAAAGCAGTGTGTAGAGGGAAATTTATAGCACTAAATGCCCACAAGAGAAAGCAGGAAAGATCTAAAATTGACACCCTAACATCACAATTAAAAGAACTAGAGAAGCAAGAGCAAACACATTCAAAAGCTAGCAGAAGGCAAGAAATAACTAAGATCAGAGCAGAACTGAAGGAAATAGAGACATAAAAAGCCCTTCAAAAAATCAATGAATCCAGGAGCTGGTTTTTTGAAAAGACCAACAAAATTGATAGACCTCTAGCAAGACTAATAAAGAAGAAAAGAAAGAAGAATCAAATAGACGCAATAAAAAATAACAAAGGGGATATCACCACTGATCCCACAGAAATAAAAACTACCATCAGAGAATACTATAAACACCTCTACGCAAATAAACTAGAAAATCTAGAAGAAATGGATACATTCCTCGACACATACACCCTCCCAAGACTAAACCAGGAAGAAGTTGAATCTCTGAATAGACCAAAAACAGGCTCTCAAATTGAGGCAATAACTAATAGCTTACCAACCAAAAAAAGTCCAGGACCAGATGGATTCACAGCCAAATTCCACCAGAGGTACAAGGAGGAGCTGCTACCATTCCTTCTGAAATTATTACAATTAATAGAAAAAGAGGGAATCCTCCCTAACTCATTTTATGAGGCCAGCATCATCCTGATACCAAAGCCTGGCAGAGACACAACAAAAAAAGAGAATTTTAGACAAATATCCCTGATGAACATCGATGCAAAAATCCTCAATAAAATACTGGCAAACCGAATCCAGCAGCACATCAAAAAGCTTATCCACCATGATCAAGTGGGCTTCATCCCTGGGATGCAAGGCTGGTTCAACATAGGCAAATCAATAAACGTAATCCAGCATATAAACAGAACCAAAGACAAAAACCATATGATTATCTCAACAGATGCAGAAAAGGCCTTTGACAAAATTCAACAACCCTTCATGCTAAAAACTCTCAATAAATTAGGTATTGATGGGACGTATCTCAAAATAATAAGAGCTATCTATGACAAACCCACAGACAATATCATACTGAATGGGCAAAAACTGGAAGCATTCCCTTTGAAAACTGGCACAAGACAGGGATGCCCTCTCTCACCACTCCTATTCAACATAGTGTTGGAAGTTCTGGCCAGGGCAATTAGGCAGGAGAAGGAAATAAAGGGTATTCAATTAGGAAAAGAGGAAGTCAAATTGTCCCTGTTTGCAGATGACATCATTGTATATCTAGAAAACCCCACTGTCTCAGCCCAAAATCTCCTTAAGCTGATAGTCAACTTCAGCAAAGTCTCAGGATACAAAATCAATGTACAAAAATCACAAGCATTCTTATACACCAATAGCAGACAAACAGAGGGCCAAATCATGAGTGAACTCCCATTCACAATTGCTTCAAAGAGAATAAAATACCCAGGAATCCAACTTACAAGGGATGTGAAGGATCTCTTCAAGAAGAACTACAAACCACTGCTCAATGAAATAAAAGAAGACACAAACAAATGGAAGAACATTCCATGCTCATGGGTAGGAAGAATCAATATTGTGAAAATGGCCAAACTGCCCAAGGTAATTTATAGATTCAATGCCATCCCCATCAAGCTACCAATGACTTTCTTCACAGAATTGGAAAAAACTACTTTAAAGTTCATATGGAATCAAAAAAGAGCCCGCATTGCCAAATCAATCCTAAGCCAAAAGAACAAAGCTGGAGGCATCATGCTACCTGACTTCAAACTATACTGCAAGGCTACAGTAACCAAAACAGCATGGTACTGGTACCAAAACAGAGATATAGACCAATGGAACAGAAGAGAGCCCTCAGAAATAATGCCGCATATCTACAACCATCTGATCTTTGACAAAACTGACAAATACAAGAAATGGGGAAAGGATTCCCTATTTAATAAATGGTGCTGGGAAAACTGGCTAGCCACATGTAGAAAGCTGAAACTGGATCCCTTCCTTAAACCTTATACAAAAATTAATTCAAGATGTATTAAAGACTTAAATGTTAGACCTGAAACCATAAAAACCCTAGAAGAAAACCTAGGCAATACCATTCAGGACATAGGCATAGGCAAGGACTTCATGTCTAAAACACCAAAAGCAATGGCAACAAAAGCCAAAATTGACAAATGGGTTCTAATTAAACTAAAGAGCTTCTGCACAGCAAAAGAAACTACCATCAGAGTGAACAGGCAACCTACAAAATGGGAGAAAATTTTTGCAATCTACTCATCTGACAAAGGGCTAATACCCAGAATCTACAATGAACTCAAACAAATTTACAAGAAAAAAACAAACAACCCCATCAAAAAGTGGGCAAAGGATATAAACAGACACTTCTCAAAAGAAGACATTTATGCAGCCAAAAGACACATGAAAAAATGCTCATCATCACTGGCCATCAGAGAAATGCAAATCAAAACCACAATGAGATACCATCTCACACCAGTTAGAATGGCGATCATTAAAAAGTCAGGAAACAACAGGTGCTGGAGAGGATGTGGAGAAATAGGAACACTTTTACACTGTTGGTGGGACTGTAAACTAGTTCAACCATTGTGGAAGTCAGTGTGGCGATTCCTCAGGGATCTAGAACTAGAAATACCATTTGACTCAGCCATCCCACTACTGGGTATATACCCAAAGGATTATAAATCATGCTGCTATAAAGACACATGCACATCTATGTTTATTGTGGCACTACTCACAATAGCAAAGACTTGGAACCAACCCAAATGTCCAACAATGGTAGACTGGATTAAGAAAATGTGGCACATATACACCATGGAATACTATGCAGCCATAAAAAATGATGAGTTCATGTCCTTTGTAGGGACATGGATGAAGCTGGAAACCATCATTCTCAGCAAACTATCGCAAGGACAAAAAACCAAACACCGCATGTTCTCACTCATAGGTAGGAATTGAACAATGAGAACACTTGGACACAGGAAAGGGAACATCACACACCGGGGCCTGTCATGGGGTGGGGGAGGGGGCAGGGATAGCATTAGGAGATACACCTAATGTTAAATGATGAGTTAATGGGTGCAGTACACCAACATGGCACATGTATACATATGTAACTAACCTGCACGTTGTGCACGTGTACCCTAAAATTTAAAGTATAATTTAAAAAAAAACCTAAATAATCATACAAATGTTTGCTAGTTAGGTGGCATTTACTCAGATTTGATAAGTCAGTTGCATCCTGTTTAAAAAACTAACTAAATATATATATATATATATATATATATTTTAAAATCTCCAATGTAAACTATTTTCCCTGAACTCCTCCCCCACCACCCCCCACACATACCCATTCTCCTCTCTTCTTCCCTGAAGCTGGGCAGAATGCCAGGGATGTATTAGAGTCAGGAAAAGTGACACCTGCCATTTCTACCATGCTTTCGTGACATCAGAAAAAAGGAGAATGGATTGGGGAGGCTAGAAAACTGCACTGGCCTTTGACAAAACTGGGACACAGATTGCATATGTGTCACAGTTTTTTTGCATATGTGCATATGGTGATTAGAATTAGAGCATTCCATCAGCTGAGAGCTGCAGCATCACAGAGTTAAAGTGCTAGAACAATTTAAACACAATTCCTCCTTGCTTCTTGTTACAGGAAAGCCTCCCTCACTCACATCCCCAACCCAGCCCCCTCTGTTAGGCCACCTGAGTGTCCTCTGCAGGGCTGGACTCCAAAGAGAGGGGTTCCGTCGCTTCCTGTTCATCAGGATGGAGAGGAAGAGCTGATGGGGGAGTGGAAGCGTGGGGGCTGTGCTTTATCCCCACCCCCATCCGGTCCAGCCTGCAGTGGGCACAGCCCCTCCATCTGAATTCCTCATATCTAATTTGTGATCCCTGGACGCCAGGCCTGGTTCATCATCCCGGGATGGGTTGGGAGCTGCAAGAACTCCTTTGTCATCATCTGGCAGGACTGCAGTCCTTCCCGAAGCACACGACTCAGCTGTCTATGGAGAGCAGGTCACAGAAAAGTCTGGAATAACTGCAGCGAGGTCCAAAACTCACATCCAGAACATCTCTGCACCCTGGATTTCTGAAAGCCCCATCATAATTCATGTTCCCCACTGTCACTGCTAGAGAGAGCCTTCTAAAATAATAATGCCACACCAGAACAATACGAACGATACAAACAGAAAGAAAGAAAGAAATAGAACAGGAAACGATCAGGGAGCACTCATCTATGCTCCAGGCCTGTGTGAAGCATTTTACTTAAAGTGTCTCACTAAATCCTCATGACTGCCCTGTTCACATGGATATGATTAGTATCCACATTACCCACATCCTTATGTCCATGCTGTCATCCTTATTATCATCCACAAACAGTACGCTGACATAGACGGAGAGAGGATGATGGGTCCTGGCCACACAGCTAGGAGTTAACCCAGGAGGGCCAGGCTCCAGCACCCATGTCCTGTTCATCATTCCTGACCTAGGCATTGAGTACTAGCTATGATGCCGACCTGCTCTTAGAACCCTCCTGCTGGCCAGCATCCCAGCTCCTCAGCCTGGCACATAGGGTTCCTCGTGGTCCAGCTCTCCCACATCCATCCCCTCCTCCCTCCTGCATGCTTCCCACATCCTTGGATGAGTCAGCCCATGCCCCTGAGGCTCCCTGTACCTCAACTCTCTCTGTGCCTCGTGCATCCACTCATCCTTGAAGGGCTGGTTCAAGGTTCACTTTCTTGGCAGTGGTAAATGGCCCTTCTTTCTCTTGGGACTCTCAGCCCCCGCATGCTCTCCAAATCCAGCTCCACCTCCCTGTGTTACATGAATGTGCTTTTGTTCATCCCACAAGACGGAGCACTTTCCTAGTATAGGAACACTGTCTCACTGTCTAGTACTCCCTGTTCCCAGCACCTAGGAGAGAAACTGAAACAAAGTACTCAAGAATTGTTTAGGACTGGGTATAAACCCAGAAGAAGTAGAATAAGAGACTCACACAGATTTTGCATACTCATGTTCACTGCAGCATTCTTCGCAATAGCCAAAAGGTAGAAGCAACACAAATGTCCATCACCAGATGACTGGATAATGTGCGGCATGCCCATACAATGGAACAGTATTCAGCCTTAAAATGGAAGGAAATTCTGACACAGCTACAACATAAATTAACCTTGAGGACATTGTTGCCAAGCAAAATAAGCCAGTCACAAAAGGATAAACAAATACTGTATTATTCCTCTCCTATGAGGTTCCTTGCATAATCAAATTCATAGAGATACAAAGTTGAATGGTGGTTGCCAGGGCAGGGAGAAAGGCAGGAACTGGGTTAGTTAAAATAGTTAGTGTTTAGTGGGTTCAGAGTTTCAGCTGGGGAAGCTTTAAAAGTTCTGGAGATGGATCATGGTGATGGTTCCACAACAATGTGAATGTACTTATGAAGACCAAAGAATTGTACATTTAAAATGGCTAAAATGATTTATTTTATATTATGCATATTTTACCAAAATTGAAAAAAATTAAAAAGGTTTTTGGTAAAGTGAATGAATGAATGAAGACTTGGGCCACTGCAAGAATCCCCTGGAATCGTCTCTCTACTGTAAGCCTCTCCTAACTCCAATCCATTGCCCTCACACATAATTAGATGCCTGTCCCCTGCAATCACCCTTTTCTTTCCCAAAAGCATAAAGACAAATGTCTTAATCCAGCACACAAGGACCCTCTCAGCAGGGGGAACACTGACCTCCCCATGAAAGGAAAGGAATGCTTAGTCAACCTCCTCATCTCCCCAGAAGTTCACTAATAAGCCTTTAACACGTTTATACTACACACTACTCTATATACTATTTTAGGTGCAGGGAGTAAAAGTCACTTAAGTCCTGGACCAAGTTTTGGTGCTCTCAAGCCAGCAGATACGAAAAGCACTCTGCCAATCATTTAACCCTGTCATTAATTACTGCTAGAAACACCTACTAGGCGTCAAGCACTCTGCTAAGATCTCCACATCTCTTCACCCATTTTATCCCCACAAAACACCATGAAATAGGTTTTCTTATAATATAGGGAAATACAGGCAGACTGAGCTCAAAGAGATTAAACCAACCCTTCAGCTAGAGTGAGACAGAACCATGATTCAATTCTAGAGCACTCTCAAGGGAGTAATCCAGGCATGAGTGACAGATAGAGAAAATGAACCAGAGAGGTGGAATGACCCTTCTGATGACACAAAGTAATTAAGGACTCATCCCAGAACCTCCTCATCTCCCCAGCAGTCAGGAAGTTTCATTGCTGCTTTGGCCTCAAAATCAGCAAAGGCAGCTGCAAAGGCAGAAGGCACAGCCTCCTTTCAGACCAGAGAAAAGGGAAGGTGCTTTAAACTGTGCTTGCGACCAAGAGCCCTTCAGGTGATTTTAAAGGGCCTTTGGCACTCAAATGGTTCTTAGAACATATCCATGTAGACCCCTGGGAGAGAGGAGGATACCTGAGTTGACCATTGAGCAAGAGATTATGACACTCAGTAGAAACTTCACGTATGGCATAATGAGGTGGATAATTCAAGTTTCACTTGGGAGAAGGGACATGAAGAAGAAAGATGCCACAGGCCCCCTCCAATGTCCAAGGCCTTCAGTGCTGTACAACCGAGTTCAGATATTCCTGCTTGCTCATTTGTTTAATTAAGCATGCATGCCCACAAACACATATGCACACAACTATGCATCCCCATAGACATGTCAGCACACAAGCATGTATGCCCACAAACATATGTGTAAACAGCTATGCATACCCAAACACGTGTGCATCCAAACATGCATGCACAAATCCCATGGCCCCAGCTGTATGCTAGGTATAGTGAATTCAGAACTGAGTATAATGAGGTCTGTATATTGATATATCAGTGACATTTTCTTCCTTACATTCCATGCTTCAATAGAAGTACACTGATTCTTAAAATACGCATTCATTTATTTATTTATTCTTTAAAAGCTTGTCCCATGACGAATAGTTGAAGAAACTGAGGCTCTTAGAGCTTGAAAGACTTGGAGTCCTGATAAAGCTCAAAGGAAAATCCAGAACTAAGGGCTGGAAGGTAGAAGGTGGCTGCCCCACTGAAGCACAGCTTTCTGACCACAGAGCTGTTCAATGGGGGAATTGGCTCTCATGAAGCCTTGGGTTTCCCAGCTCTAGAGACGTGCAGGCAGGAAGACACATGCAGACACTGCTATACACTATAGCTGTCAAGAACAGCCAAACCCAGGCAAAGACACTCTGATCTCAGCTTTTCAGGCACAAAGCTTGACCTCCAGACCACAGGTGGATCTTAAAAGGGCCTCAGGACTCTGAAAGTCTCCAGAGCTAACTCTGTCCCACCTCTGGTCTCTGTTGACAGCCATGGATGGCTGAACTGAAGCTGCAGGAACTGTCTTCACCTCTTACACTGAGCCACAGCCAACACGGTAAAATGAATGTGATGAACTTTGGCTTATCATACCCTGCTTTCACCGCCAGTGCCCAAGGGGAAGGCCCTGCCCTGGCCAGGTACCTTCTACCACACAAGCACCCCACGTTCTTCCTTGCCCTTGACTAAGTCCACAACCATTCCATCACCTCCCAAACGTGTCTACTGTGTCCCCTGGAACTCCCACCTCATAATCAGAAAATGTCTCCAAATATTCTTGCATCTCCCTGCCTGAGATAAAGAAAACCTGCATTCCCTGAGGACTCTGGCTCTCTGCAGCCCCCTGCAGTGCACTGGTTTGGTTGTTTCCTCTTATCTGAAACACCACTGGACAGGAGGGGGGTTTAGGAGCTCCTTTCTTTCCATGGCCCTTCCAGATCATTGCTGCCTGACCCTTTCACCCAATGCAGATCTTCGAGGCTTGTGCCATTTAGTTATACTCCCTCCAGCACCTCTGGCTGCTGTGCTGATGAGAATGGGATGAGGAGGGAGGCAGACGGAGGCTAGGGAGAGGCAGTGACAGGCATCCAGGTGAGAGAGGACAGTGGCTTAGACTGGACGGCAGCAGTGAAGATGCTGAGAAGAGCTGCAGGATTTGAGGTATCTTACGAATGTGAGCCAAAATCATTGCCTGAGGATTTACAAAAGATAAGAAGTGTCAAGGGAGAAGATACCATGTCAAGAATGACTCTGGGGTTCAGTCCTGTGGGGCTGCCTGTAATTCTCAATGGCAAGGTGGCCAATGCAGTGCAATGAAAGATGCCCAACAGAGAATCACAGCCCATCGTAACCCGGCGCCAGCTCGCCTCTCCAGCAGCCATGGTGGCCTCACTTCATTTTCTGAAATAATCTGTCCCCACCTCGGGGTTGCACGACTGCCCTTCCTTTGGCCTTTTTCCTCCCACCTGCGCTTGGCTATTTCTTAATTAACCTTCAGGTCTCCTGTTAAATGTTACGTCCTCAAAGACGCTTTTCCGAACCCTCAGTCTAAATTAGGAGTCTCTTGCTACACTTTCTTTCTTTCTTTTTTTTTTTTTTTTGTTAAGGAGTCTCGCTCTGTCGCCCAGGCTGGAGTGCAGTGGCGCGATCTCAGCTCACTGCAATCTCCGCCTCCCAGGTTCATGACATTCGCCTGCCTCAGCCTCCCGAATAGCTGGGACTACAGGTGCCTGCAACCACACCCAGCTAATTTTTTGTATTTTTAGTAGAGACGGGGTTTCACCGTGTTAGCCAGGATGGTCTCGATCTCCTGACCTCGTGATCTGCCTGCCTCGGACTCCCAAAGTGCTGGGATTACAGGCGTGAGCCACCGCGCCTGGCTTCTTGCTACACTTTCTATGGCCACCTGCACTTTACATCATAGCATGTATTTCAAACTGAATGATCCACTTGGAAAAGGGAGTTTGGGTTTTATGCTTGTTCTCCCACGGGACTGATGCTCCGGAAGAGCAGGGACTGTTCTGTTTGGGTCATAACCATGAAAGCAGCATCCAGCACTGTGTCAGCAATGCAGTTGACAATAAATACTGTTTTACTGTTGGATAAGTGGAGGATGAGGGTCAGAATAGTTCAGCCCAGCTCAGGTAACTTTTCAACAAGCTTTGGCTGAGCCTCATTCTGTGCCAGCCTGAGTGGCAAGCCCAGGAAACAGAGGAGTTGATGGATGAGACCTGGCTGCAAGGCCCTGCTGTGTCACAGTGAGGTGATTAGCATAAGTGGTAGGACAAAGGAGAGCATGGGGGAGGCTCCTCAAACAGGATCAGCCGTCAGAAAGTTTCCTGAAATAAGTGACATCTGAGCAGAGACAAAAGGCATGAGCAGGAGTTGGCGAGAGAACACTGCAGATGGAAAGAGTGCTTGTAGCAGCAGCAGGGCCAGGGGCAAAGCTTGGAGGTAACAGAGTCTATGTAACTCCGGGTAATTCTAAACGGACAGGGTGGGCAGTAGACTGACTGCAAGTCAGCCACCATAATCACAGTGGAAACCCTTGTTTTGCCAGTGTGGTACCCCAACCCATTTGTTCAAGCCCCTTTGACATGGTATGTGAGGACTCTGTGATATTAACTCAGTCTCCTGTCCAACTCTATCTGAAGCCACTCACTGCCCCCAAACCACCCAGCCATGTGGCGACGACAATGGACATCCCAAAACTGAGAGGAGGGGAGAGTATCTTCTGACCATGACTTTCAGTCATTCCTGAATTCGCCAAAGGAAAATCAGACTCTGCCTTGGAAGGGCTCCCATAACATCCTGCATGATGATCTCTACTGCCTCAGTTTCTCCATCTGAGAAGGTGGATGTGGACAGGACTTGCCTGTGTTCTATGATTAAGTTATATGTTTTGCAATCCATCCATCTGACAAAGGTCTAATATCCAGAGTCTACAAGGAACTTAAATAAATTTACAAGAAAAAAACAACCCCATTAAAAACTGGGCAAAGGACGTGAACAGACACTTCTCAAAAGAAGACATTCATGTGACCAACAAACACATGAAAACAAGCTCAACATCACTGATTAGAGAAATGCAAATCAAAACCACAATGAGATACCATCTCACGCCAGTCAGAATGGTGATTATTAAAAAGTCAAAAACAACAGGTGCTGGCAAGGTTGCAGATAAAAAGGAACACTTTTACACTGTTGGTGGGAATGTACATTAGTTCAACCATTGTGGAAGACAGTGTGGCAATTCCTCAAAGATCTACAGCCAGAAATACCATTTGACCCAGCAATCCCATTACTGGGCATACAACCAAGGAAATATAAATCATTCTATTATAAAGGTACATGCACATGTTTGTTCACAATAGCAGTTCACAAATGCAGCACTATTCCCAATAGCAAAGACGTGGAATCAACCCAAATGCCAATCAATGATAGACTGGGTAAAGAAAATGTGTTACATATATACCATGAAATACTATGCAGCCATAAAAAGGAAGGAGATCATGTCCTTTGCAGGGACGTGGATGGAGCTGGAAGCTGTTATCCTCAGCAAACTAACACAGAAATAGAAAATCAGACATCACACGTTCTCACTTATAAGTGGGAGCTGAGCAATGAGAACACATGGACACATAGGGGGAATGACACACTGGGGCCTGTCGGGGGGTCAGAGGTGGTGACGGGGAGAATATCAGGAAGAATAGCCAATGAACACTGGGCTTAATACCTAGGTGATGGGTTGATCTGTGCAGTACACCACTGTGGCACACATTTACCTATGTAACAAAGCTTCACACCCTGCACATGTACCCTGGAACTTAAAATAAATGTTGAAGAAAATAAAAAATTATATCATGTGAAATGTTCAACTGAAGGCCTGGCAGGTAGCAAGCACTCACCAATGTCCATTATAATCACATTGTATGATAATATGTGTCTGTTTCTATCATGAGGCTTTAGAAGCCCGAGAAAAAGATTTTGTGTTTTCACTTCTTGGTCACTAATATCTAGCACCCTGATTGGTACATAGGTATCAATTACAGTTTGGTAAGTGAATAAATACATGAACAAAAGGAAGAATGAATGGAGGAATGAACAAAAGGAAGAATGAATGAATGAATGAATGAATGAATGAAGGCAGGTGTGAGTAGGAGAGTGTCTTCCCCAGGAGGACCTGGCTCCTCACTCAGGGAATGGGACTTGACAGAATGTCTCAGTAACATCATGTCCTAATCCACCTAAGTCATGGGTCTCGATGCTTTCTATATGAAAGGCTGGAAATGGAGCTCTGCACTTCACAACACAAATCATCCCTTCCTGTGGTATCAATGATCCATGAGCCTGTCATTGGCTGAGCCTCAAAGTGAGAGAACAAAAGAGATGGCAATGCTTATAGAAGTCTGGGATCCTTAACCCTGGCATCATAGCCTATGACACTGAGGCTTAAAAGTCCCACAGGTCACCTCTGCATGAGCGTAGTGCATGGAAACCCAAGCTTCTGAAAGATCACAAGAAGGAAACAGCCAAAAGGAATGGTGCCCAGTCAGGATTGCACACAAAGACAGTCTGCTGCTTTTATAATTAACAGCCCTCTCATAACCCCTTGAGATTTTTTATTTTTATTCTTAAGATGATACAAGTTGCAGTCGTCAGTCACCTACCATCATCACTCTGCTTGCTGATCTCCAGAGGACGGAAAGTCAGGGCCTGAGCCAATCACACCTGTTCTAGGACAATCAGACTGGTAGGGATCAATATGACCTTAGAGATTCCCCAATCTGATCTCACAACGGGCAGCCAAGCTCTGCCTCAGACCAGCAGGGTTACCTCGAGTAAGTTACATCATGCTTCTGTGTCTTGGTTCCCTTACCTACAAAACGGAGGTAGAATTATAGTCCTGATTTCATGAGGTTAAGAAATAAATGAGATAATAAATATGAAGTCTGGAAGAGTACCAAGCTCACAGTAAATGTTCAGTGACTGTTGGCTAATTCTACTATGACTATTTTTACTGTTGTTATCCCAGTGGTTCAAATATGTACAATGAGGTCCTCATGTTCCAAGGAGAAGGCTCAAAGTTGCCCCCCATGCAACAACAATCAGATTAGTTCTTCTTTTTCCTCCTCTTTTTTTTTTTTTTTTTTTTTTTTGAGAAGGAATTTCACTCTTGTTGCCCAGGCTGGAGTGCAATGGCTCCATCTCGGCTCACCGCAACCTCCACTTCCCAGGTTCAAGCAATTTTCCTGTCTCAGCCTTCCGAGTAGCTGAGATTACAGGCATGCACCACCACACCCCGCTAATTTTTGTATTTTTAGTAGAGACAGGGTTTCTCCATGTTGGGCAGGCTGGTCTCGAACTCCTGACCTCAGGTGATCCGCCCACCTCGGCCTCCCAAAGTGCGGAGATTACAGGCGTGAGCCACCGCACCTGGCCTTTTTTCCTCTTTTATACATCGGTTTGCTTTATAAAATTCAACACGACAAAAGAAAATAAACACTTTATAAACAACAATGCTTTAAGACCTGTGACTCAATCCTTCACCATTTTCTTCCCTGGCAGTAGCTTTCCTAGACTCCCAACTATATTAACACATCTTCTTCTGGTAAGGACACTAATGACTGCCCACAACAACCCTTTTCATTGAGGACAATTCATTAGAAAACAGTTTCTGGTAGTGAACCTTTAAAATCTACCTTCTTTTCACTTTCAGTCTTAGTTCTGGACTTAAGAGAAACTAAGAGTGAATCCAATTGATCTTCCTGGGAAACCATTTGTGATCACAAAATTGTGCTTGCACAGCTCTGACTCATCTCCAATTCATTTAATTACTTCTTTTAGGACATGGTTGGGGCATAATTGGCCAGGCTTAGAGTGCCCAGGTTTGTCAACACGTGCCCAGTGTCCTGGACTTTAAACATGGATGGGGAAGCCCAGAGATCTGTCTGGAGCAGAGAGTTGTGGCCAGGGCCCAGGCCCCTCTGGCACCAGACTAGATGAGGCCAGCCAAAATGGGCAGGCAGGAGGTCATCCAAAAGTCATCATTCACCATGTAACCCTAGGGTGACCAACTCATTGCAGTTTGCCTGGGACTTTCGTGGTCTTAGCACTGAAAGTCTTACATTCCAGGAAACCCCCTTCAGTTCACCTGGGCTAATGCCCCTTGTGAAGTAGCAGCAACAAAAGCAAAGGATGTACCTCTGTGCCTCCTCACTTCTTCACTGTTCAATAAGGTTGGGAGCTGTTTGGGAATAGGGACCCAGAACATGTGTTTTGGAAGGGAAACTCCATGCCTTTGGAGAAAGAATGTAGACTTGGAAGTGAGACAGACTTGGAACAGGATCCTGCACCCTTCACAGAGTACCCTGCATGGCTTCAAGTAAGTTATTTTGCTTTACTCTGTTGAAGGCTGTTTACTCATGTGTAAAACAGAACAGATAGTATCTGCTTCTCCAGGATAATTAAACGAAATGATGTAGATAAAATGTCTAGCACAATCCCTAGGATATAGCAGGATATAGTAGGGATTAAGGAAGGCTGGTTCTTTCTTTTTCACTTTTTCTTTCTTTCTTAAATTCCCCAACATTTGACATACGGCTGGCCACAAATGACATATTTGATATGTGTATGATGAGAGATAAAATAGATGAATGAATGAATGAGTGAATGAGTGAATGAATGAATACTTATGTGTGAGGATAGATGGATGGACAGACAAACTCTCAATAGAGGTAGTTTTGTGGCTCATACAGGCCCACTTTTCTGCAGGCTGAGATGAGCAAAGCAGAGCCAGAAATGGAAAGCATGTTCAAGAATCCATAAGTTCTGCAGTGAGCCAGATTCAGGTTTCAATCCCGGACATACCATTCACCTGCCATAGTGTTCCCTCAGACAAATTATGGGATAAACATCTTCATGATGATGATCAAGAATATCCACATAGCTAAAATTTATTGAGAACAATACACACAATTTTTTGTCCACAAAAGACCTGTGAGGTGGACTCTATCGTTATTCTCCATGTTCAGATGAGAGAGATTAAGTACCTTGGCCATGACCACCATCGCTCAGATGTCCTGAAGTAAAGACTACACTCAGTCACTCTGATATCAGATGCCAGGACCCAAATCCCAGTCCCCAAGCAAACTCCTTTGGATTTCCTTTGTGTACTCATCTGAGAAGTTTCCTCATTCTCATGATATTTCAAAGATGAAACCCAGAATATGTTACATGAAGTGCTTCATGTAAACAGACAGCAAAACATACTATCCCGTTCTTTCACCTAAGTCAACATTCCCATGCCGTTATTCAAAAGGAGGCCAATAGACAAGGGCACAAGGCAACCAACCATTCCAACCCTCTAATCAAATCCAGCTTAGGACAATTTTGCAAATCAATCCTTTTGATGCATGAAAGGAGGTGGCTTGGGGAAAATAACCATTCTCCAAGAGATGCTCACTGGGACACTAGAATCAGGAATTGTAAATAGGTTTTCTACAACACACACACACACACACACACACACACATCTGTGACACACGTGGAGAAATATTGCTGCTGTAAAAATCCCAAGAGAGAGATATTGTAGGCTGTATCTGAAGGACTAATGTTCCATTGAATACACTGGAATATTTGGTTGTGAAACAGAAAAGGCCTTGATTAGGAATCAGAAAGCTGAGATTCTGAGAGGATTCTTCCACCTCCCAGCTGTTTATCTATTGAAGGCAAAGCTTCTTTTTCCTATGCCCTGTTTCCTTATTCATACATTAAGGAAGCTAAGCTGTGTGATATATAAGCTAATTCCCAGAACTTCCACATTTTATACCTGTATACTTGTCATTCCTATTGCCTTGTATACCTTGTGGTGCCTACCCACCACCAGATAATGTCCATGGTCTTCATATCTAATGTCGTTGCCATATAACCTGCTTACCTCCCCAAAGTCATCATTCACCATGTAACCCTAGGGTGACCAACTCAATGCAGTTTGCCTGGGACTTTCATGGTCTTAGCCCTGAAAGTCTTACATTATGGGAAACCCCCTTCAGTCCTGACAAAATCCATACAGAATCTACCCAAAATTTTGTTACTTCACATATAAGGCATGCCTTTTTATGCTTTTCCAAATTGTGTTCCCTCTACACAAAACTAGCAGATGTCACCTGTACAGGCTGAATTGTGTCCCCTTCAAAGAGATATGCTCAAGTCCTAACTCCTAGTACCTCAGAATGTGGCATTATTTGGAAACAGGGTCTTTATAGAGTCTAAGAAAGCCCAATAGAGTTAAAACAAGGCCATTAGGGTGGTCCCTGATCCAATCTGACTGGTGTCCTTATAAAAGGGGAAGTTTGGACACAGAGGCTGATGTGCAGAGGGAAGATCCTGTGAAGAGACAGGTAGAACACTATGTGAAGGTGAAGGCAGAAACTGTAGTAATGCACTGAAAAGCCAAGGCACATCAGAGATTAACAGAAAAGACACCAGAAGCCAGGATAAAGGCATGGAACGGATCCTCGCAGTCCTGAGAAAGAAGAAATGCCACTTACACCTTGATTTCAGACCTCTAGACCCAACAACTGTGACACAACACATTTCTGTTGCTTCATACACCCAGTTTTGGATACTTTGTAACAGCAACCCTAGAAAACCAAGACACCACAAATTCCTACATGCTTAGGGCAGATCTTTTTTTTTTTTTTTTTTTTTTTTAAGATGGAATCTCACTCTGTTGCTCAGGCTGGAGCGCAGTGGTACAATCTCACCTCATGGCAACTTCTGCCTCCCAGGTTCAAGCAATTCTCCTGCCTCAGTCTTCCCAGTAGCTGGGACTACAGGCATGTGCTACCATGCCCAGCTAATTTTTGTATTTTTAGTACAGAAAGGGTTTCACCATGTTGACCAGATTGGTCTTGAACTCCTCACCTCAGGTGATCTGTCCGCCTCGGCCTCCCAAAGTGCTGGGATTACAGGTGTAAGCCACTACGTTCGACCAGATTATTTTTTTATTAACTAAGTACTTTTCTGACTGATCCTGTATGGAACCTTGGAAACACTGACATAATGCTCTGTGCATAATACTCTAGGTCTAGAAGGGGCCACATGAAGGCTGACTGATTACAGACATTGGGAAACCATTGGCACCCAGACAGTGTTTAAACCCATGAAACAGTTTCACCCAGGCAATGAAGCTTTGCCAATTTGACTGTTTAAAGGCCAAGATTTTTACTGGGATGCATTTTAATAATAAGTAGGGGGTTAATTGCTTTAAATATCAAATCTGAATGATAAATGTTTGAGGTGATGTGTATCCCAATTACTTCAGTTTGATCATTATACATTGTATGCATGTATCAAAATATCAGGTGTACCCCATAGATGTGTACAACTGTCTAAAATAAACATCACCTTGTAAATATTATAAATAAACAAAAAATATCAAGAACCATGCACAGTCTTATGACTAGCTTCTGTTTTTCCCTTGTATTCAGTAAACAAAACTTGGCTGATGGACCTTGGGTTCCTCCTGGGAGCCAGGCATCCATTCATCTTCTCTCCTTTCACTCTCCCTGACCCTCTGTCTCTAAACACTTGAGTCTAAAGATTTATCTCAGTTAGGGTGGAGGGAGACAGAAAGAAATCCCATTTTGGCATCCATGCCTATGTCTTACACTTATTGCTCAATCTGTTTTCCTCAATGCCCCCCACTAGGAGGGTATTGAGAATGTTCCCAGCTATAAATAAAGTACATTGGTTCCATTCCATTACTGTTTCTTATGGTTCTATAGCTCCCTAATTCAGGGAAGAGAGAAATCAGTAGTGAGACTTAAGTTTTATATAAACCTAACCCCAACATCTCAGAAACTACTCATCAATAGGATTTGGAGTGCAGTAGGAACTTTGTCACACTGCTCAGTACATGTCTCCTTCATCAATAGCCAGCTAACATAAGACACCTCATCCAATAAATGTGAATTAAAATATGTGAGTGCCAACTATGTTCTAGGCAGGCAATGCCTCTCCCTGCTACAATCTGCTCTTCACACTTCAGCCAAATGATGTTCTGACCCATATCCGATCACATCACTCCCCTACTTGAAACATTCCACACTCACACCTTCTGTACCATTCCTAGGAGAGAAAGTCCAAACTCCTATGCATGCTTTTCTACCTCCTCTAGGAAGCCTTCTCTGTCTCCGACCATATTGAGTAGTAAAACCGGGTTTATATGTCAGCTCCCCCAAGCACATGGTGAGATTTTCCTCTCAGGATCAGTTCTCATCCATATTTGCACACAAGGCTCTCTGGCTGCTGCTCTCATCATATAGACAAATTATTTTTGCAAAGGCTATTCTTGACTCCTGAGCTGATATCAGGATCCTTTTTGGTCCTTATACCCTTGATTCCTCTGCAACATTTAGCCTTGGGATGCTCCCACCTTCTGGCTCTCACATTTCTTTGATTCTTTGAATTGTTTTTCCTAATTTTCCTTGCATCTCTCCAATAGCTCTAGCTGAGACTCTTTTGCAAGTTTCTTCACCTTCAAATATATATAAATTGTGAATTTTCTCTTTAGAGTCTGGTCTTACCAACAAAATAAAATTTAGACTTCATAATACTGGCTCTGGAGACAAACAGCTATGAATCCAAACCCTGTCATAGGGTGGCCAAGTGACCTTGGGCTTCAGTGTACTTATCTGTGAAATAATACCTATCTCACAGGTCTATGGATGGCATCAAGTGAGTTGATACAGTAAAAACTCCTGGCACAGTCTGAGCTCACACACCTGTGCTAGTGTTGTATAGTCACTGAGTGATTTCAGCCAAGCTCAATTACGGTTATGAGCTGATGAATCCCAGCCCAGATTCTCACCTGGCCTCTGCACTCAGATATCCCATTGCCTTTAGACCTATAAACTCACATCAACTCCTCTTGCTGCTTGATCCTCTTCTCCTTCAGCTTTATTGACTAATTCACCCAAGGGAACTTCTTAACCATCACTGCAACTTTTCCCTTCCCCTCAACACAATGCAAAAACACCAATTCTTTTCATTCCATTACCTCAGCAGTCCTCAATTATTCTCCTTCTGAGCTACCTTCACCTCTTTAATAATTTCTCCCCACGCCAGCTGTCATCCTCTTTGATTCTAATGTGTCATTTCTGTTACACATACAATCAAGCAACTCCCTTACTCAAATTGTTTCATAGTCTTCCTTTATCTATAGATACAATCCCAGCTCCAGAAGGGGACACACACACCCTTCATGATCAATCTCCCTGGAATCTGGCTAGCCCCATCCCTCCTACTCTATCAAAAACAAAACAAAACAAAACACTTGTATGCAGTACTCTTGAAAACCCTAGCACTACCCAGGAGATGACATGCCCTTTTCCATTTCTGTACCTTTGTGCATACCTTCTCAATGCCTGAGACCCCCTTCCAGTCTTTATCTGGCTTGTGAATGCCCTCTCTTCCAAGTAACCCATCCTGATACCTCCTGGGTGGGCGTTTTGGGAGTTCTCTGTCCTCCATCAACATCTTGTCCATGTTTAACTTCCATTTCTGACATCACTTTCTTGACTTCCACCTGTCTCTCTTACACTGTATCAGGAGCAACTTGAGTTCACAATTGTGTCTTTCTCATTGCTCTGCCCAGAATTCTTAGGATAGAGCCAACAAGAGCAAGAGCTCAAGGTCTCCTAAATGAGCAAATTGATGACAGTCTGTAAATCAATAAACGAAGGAAAATGACCCTGAGGTTTATCTTTCAAGGGGGGATTTGTATGAAAATGCCATGGGAGAAACATCACACATTCCTTTTGAGGAGGAAAACATCGGCAAGAAGTGAGTGAGCCAAAGGGGACTCTTTTCTCATTCACTCTCTTTTTTTCTAGGGTACATGTGCACAACATGCAGGTTTGTTACATATGTATACATGTGCCATGTTGGTGTGCTGCACCCATTAACTCGTCATTTACATTAGGTATATCTCCTAATGCTATCCCTCCCCCTTCCTCCCACCCTACAGCAGGCCCCGGTGTGTGATGTTCCCCTTCCTGTGTCCAAGTGTTCTCATTGTTCAATTTCCACAGAGAAATAGGAACACTTTTACACTGTTGGTGGGACTGTAAGCTAGTTCAACCATTGTGGAAGACAATGTAGCGATTCCTCAGAGATCTAGAACTAGAAATACCATTTGACCCAGCCATCCCATTACTGGGTATACACCCAAAGGAATATAAATCATGCTGCTATAAAGACACATGCACACCTATGTTTACTGCGGCACTACTCACAACGGCAAAGACTTGGAACCAACCCAAATGTCCAACAATGATAGACTGGATTAAGAAAATGTGGCACATATACACCATGGAATACTATGAAGCCATAAAAAATGGTGAGTTCATGTCCTTTGTAGGGACATGGATGAAGCTGGAAACCATTATTCTCAGCAAACTATCACAAGGACAAAAAAATCATTCACTCTCTTTTAAGGAAGGAGAAAAAGGGGACCATGATCACTTCTGAGGACTCTATTTGGAGACTAAACTTTTATTATGGAAATGTGAGTGCAGTTGGTTAAGAAAGTATCTCTCACGCCTGTCAGTCATTGGCTGGAAGGATTCAGTTCTCAAAACCCACATTATCTTCTCGTTATTCAAGGAAGAGACCCTGGCAGGTGCCAAGCAGTGAGAAAGGGAAGTCTGAGTATAATTTCCTCCTGAGAGTACCGCTCTATAAATTCACTGTTTGCAGCAGTGCATAGCATTTAAGAAATAGGGGGAGAAAGACATCACAACATTTGAATGCCCTTGTGTGAGCCAAATAAAACAAAATATGCACTGTGGCACTATGGTAAGAATGTGTCCCCTCTAAACTGTATGTTGAAACCTAATGCCCTCCTAACGGTGTTAAGAGGTGAGGCCCTTTGGAATGTGATTAAGTAATTAGGGCTTTGTCCTCATGAGTGGATGAGTGACTTATAAAAGGCCTGGAGGGAACTAGCTTAAGCTTTTTCTCCCTTCCACTTTCCACCATGTGACAGGGCAGCATTTGCCCCTTCTATCATGTAAGGACACAGCACTAGGGCCCTCACCAGGCATCAAATGCTGGTATCTTGATCTTGGACTTTCCAGTCTCCAGAACTGTGAGAAAATAAGTGTATGCCATTTGCAAATTACCCAGTTTCAGGCATTTTGTTATAGCAGCACAAAAGGACTAAAATGGTGTGTTGAGGGGGGCATGGTAGAGACAGAAAGGGAAAGAGAGAGAGAGAGAGAGAAAGAGAGAGCCAGCGAGTGAGAGAAAACATAAGAGTATGTGAACGCTAGAGTCTAGGCATCCAAGAATGAATTCTTTCAAGTGGCCACTTGCAGAACGTTCAAAACCAGGGCAGATATTGAACCCATGTGAGCCTCTGCTTCCTCTATGATTTAGGGATAATACAATATTCCTTGTAGAATTGTGAGAATTACATGAGGTTATTTGTAATAACACAGAATTTCAAAATTTTTCTTCTCCAAAGAATTCTGGTTAACTCCATTGGGTTGAGACATAAAAGACAGTTTCACCCAATGATGGTGAAGTGATTTTTTCAAATAAAACACCAAATTTTACTTGGTCTGAGAACACAATGTATGATGGTGAAAGCAAAGATCTCCCTACTTTGAGGAAGGACATCAGAACAGCCTCCAATGGTGTCTTCCGTTTTTCCAAAAGTTTCTAAACAGTAACTCAGCTACCTGAGTGTCAATGGCTGGGGTCTGTGGAGCCACGGAAACCCTTACATCAGCTGAATGGAAGATTTGTAGACATTTTCTGTTTATGAAAACTCCTCTCACTTAAAAAGTGCAGATCCATTACCTAATACCATGAAGTTTCTTAATCTATGTTTAATTCTTCTAAGCTTTGTGAAATGTCTTTTGCAGAGGTTTTAGAAGGGGTGGAGCAGAAGAGATTTGGGAGTATATGAGGACAATTAAGTCAAAGATCATTTCCTCCCTCACCTTGTTCAATGATAGAAGAGTTTGATCAAAGAGAATATGAATCTTCATGAACATTAACCTGGACTACAAAGCAAGACAAGCAGCAAGATGTATTCATTTTTAGAGCATATTATTTATATTATCAATAGAGAATAGTTTCCTAAAGAAAAAAAGACAATTTTAAATAATGAAATTATGAAAATTTGTGCTACTGTTGCATAGCAACATGTTTTTCCCCCATTTATAAAATGCTCTTAAATGCATTATAATATTAAAACTAAAACTATAAAACAAGTGAAATGTCCAAAAATACAGCATTGGTTAAATAAATTATAATAGAATCACATGATGGAATTCTGTGTAGTTATTAATTATGTTGTAAAAATATGTAGGGTTATTGAAAATGTTTATAACTTGGAAAGTGAGAAAAACAGAGAGTAACTTATACACTACATTTTTGTGAAGGAAAATACATGTGAATATAAAATAGTTTGTGCCTAGTGAAAGAATATGATGACATTTTTCTTTGTACTTTTTCTTATTTCCACAGTATGCATATTTATGTAATCAGAACTATAAACATACACAGATACATATATGTGTGCAACTGAAAGTTTAAAATGAAGATATCTAAAGGAATACATTTAAAACTGCTTTTGAGCAATATCTGACAATTCATGGGAAAAAAAAACAAGAGCAGTGAAGGATCCCACTCTCTTTCTTATACCTCCTCTGGCCCAAGATCTACTCAAAAAACTTCTAGGAAAGAAACATTCTAGAGTTTAGTATATTTTATTGACTATATTTCCCTAGTGTCCCTACAGCTATCATTTCTTTAGAAACGTGGCATTTTCACTTTGTAGATCTCAGATGTAAAGTAAAAAAGAGAAAATGTGATTTATCCTATTGAAGCCGATAGGAATAAACATGGTGTCCGTTAGTATATTAACCCATTTTCATACTGCTATGAAGAAATACCCAAGACTGGGTAATTTAATGAACTCACAGCTCCACATGGCTGGCGAGGACTTACAATCATGGCAGAAGGTGAAAAAGGAGCAAAGGTACATCTTACCTGGCAGCAGGCAAGAGAGCATGTGTAGGGGAACTACCCTTTTTAAAATCATCAGCTCTCATGAAACTTATTCACTACCACGAGAAAAGCCCAAGAAAAATCTGCCCCCATGATTCAATTACCTCCCACCAGGTTCTTCCCACAACACATGGTGATTATGGGAGCTAAAATTCAAGATGGTATTTGGGTGGGGACACAGCCAAACCATATCAATTAAGTTTTTAAGTGGCAAGAAGACCCCTTCCTGAGGAATTAGCTGGAATAAGTATAAAGTACCTGCATAAAATGTAGAGAGGAACATACATTCAGAGCTTGACCAGATCGACAGTCTGTTCTAGCCCTGGCACTGACCAGCTGAGGATGTTTGGTTCAGAGTCTCAATTACAATCAATGGAGTAGTCCATAGAGGGCTTGGGTCCTCTTGGCTTGTACTGTAAAACCTGGGCCTCTATTTTACTAGGTGCTTTACAAATATCACCTCATGGACATTTAATAGATTCTGCAAAACAAATGAAGAAAGTGAGATTTAAAAATTTTAATAACTTGCCCATGGGTACCCTGCTAATAATAGAATAAATGAAATTAGAACCAGGATATGTGTCTCTTAAATGTCTCTGATTTTCTATTATCCTACCTTCATGGCCACATGACCTTTTACTCTACTTAAGAGACCTCAGTGAGAACCGTCAAGTACCTTTAGAGTACAGAGTTCTTTTACAGCACAAAACTAGAAAGGACCACACTTCCCAGTGGCATTCTGCTCTGCCTTTGATTCCACCAGGAAGTATCTGGGCCCTGTGGGTGGCTCTGAGCTCACCAGAGGCATTTTAAATCTCAGCAGGTCAATGTCCGGTCCCCTAGAAAGAGCTTTTCTTTATACACCTGCTGAGCCTGTCCTCAGCCAGGGGTTAAGAGGATAAAAGGCTCAAAGCAGCAGGCTCATGAAGTCACAGATTAAAAGGTAAATTGAGAAAAAAAAATAGGACAGGGCAATCATTAACAGGAATGTGGATTTGTCCAAAAAATAATCCAGAATGTTCATCTACATAAGCACTTGGGTAACTGAAGTCTATTCACTCATCATAGGAACAATGATAATAATGTCATTGTATGAAAGGGGGATGTAAAATTGTTATTAAAATAATATTTATGGAATTTTAGAGAAAAAAAGACTCAGAGATGAACAAGGCTACCTACCCCTTTGTGCTAGATGAAACACTGACTGTAAGTGATCAATATCCTACATCAAACTGGCTTTAACAAAAATAAAAGGAATGGATTGGCTTGAACAACTGAAAAGTCATGAGACTGGAATGATGCATTAAATCCACTGCTTCTGTGGTGTGTCCAAATCATACCCACCTACCATTCATCATGGTGGACACTCTACCTTCACAAATGCACCATTGTCAAAGCTGTCGTAATGTTAAACTTGAAGGTTCACCTGCATGCTGACTGCCCAGCTCTCTAACAGTTGTTTCTTAGTCAAGCAAAGCTGAACACTCAATGCAGCTCTCAAATATTTATAATTCCCACTCACTTTCAAAAGTGTGGGAATGAATGAAAAGGATCTCAACATATTTTAATAAGAGAAGTGGGGAAAAAAGATTGTTTCTGACAGAACCAGACAAATCAATTAATCACTGGCAAGCAAAGATAATTGTATTTCTGAGTCTATTAAGGCACATTAGGGCTAGTTAGCTAACTTCACAGGGGAGCTGGATGTCGCTGGGCATTAGGCAGTGATGGGACACATCAGGTAGAAACACAAGATGACATTGTCTTTCAGGAAGCACTTGACTTTCAACTCAACCATTTCCACTTTGGTAGAGAAAAGGCAGGTGAGTACGTTCAAAGGAGATTTCAATCCTAACATTTCTATGAGCCTTCACACTTTTACATCAGCTCTGATAATACTGATTATAGGTCCTTTTTGTGAGACTGTTCTGTGGATGAGAACAGAATTTCTCAGTAAAATCATCTAAAGCCACTGGGGAGAAAATCTCCTAAATGATATGTAAAGAAGGAGAGGAAGAAAGACAGGGGATGAATCTCAACATCAAACAATGAAAAATCTTACTCGGAAAGAAAATCAGTTTGATTTAGAGTTTTGTCTGAATTAATATTTAAAACCAAATTTGAATTCATTGTCAAGGACAAATGTTAGCTCCATTTCAGCTAACAATATTAGAAATGCAGGTTCATGCTCTTGTAAATAGATACAAATGAGTTATGGATATACTGATGATTAACAAATATCTATGTAATGAGTTTTATAATTAATTGTTCACTTAGAAAGTATTTCCTTGGGGGAAAAGTATTGCATATGAAAATAAGACCATTCCTCCTGCTTTCTCACCACTAGCACCAAGCTGGAAAGCTAACACAAAGTCTCTGGAATTTCCACAGCAGAAGAATGCATAAATGGAGTTAAGATCCAGTGTCCTATTGGGGAAGAGGAGGCTTCGCAATCTGGTTATGAAAGTAGAAGTCAGGGTCTCATTTTCTTTATAATAAAGAGGCTAGCAAAGAGAGGCTGAGATTACTTGGCCTGTGCAATCTTCACTTAGCCTTAATCCCATCATTTCCAACCTTGGAATTACCTCGGGAACTTTAGCAAGTGCTGACACCTCGGTCCCACTGTGAAGATTTTTTTTACTTAGTTGGTCTGGAGGATGAAAATTTCAGTTTTCCAGGAACTTCTAGTACATGATGAAGTTTGAGATTTTCACAGGAACTCTTTCAGCAGTGGTCTTCAACCAGAGTCACCCAGGGAACATATTAAAACACGGTCTCCTAAGCCCCTCAACCAGAGATGATTCTGACTCAGTAGGTCTGAGACCAGGGCCAAGAATTTCCATTTCTTCTTTTTTTTTTTTTTTCAGATGAAGTCTCACTCTGTTGCCCAGGCAGGAGTGCAGTGGCACAATCTCAGTTCACTGCAACCTCCACTTCCCTGGTTCAAGCAATTCCCCTGCCTCAGTCTCCCGAGTAGCTGGGATTATAGGTGCATGCCACCATGTCCAGCTAATTTTTTTGTATTTTTAGTAGAGACAGGGTTTCACCATGTTGGCCAGACTTGTCTCGAACTCCTGACCTCAGGCAATCCACCCTCCTCAGCCTCCCAAAGCTGGGATTACAGGTGTGAGCCACCTCGCCCAGCCAAGAATTTCCATTTCTAATGTGTTCCCAGCTGATGGGGATGCTGCTGGTCCGTGAGCCACCATTTGAGCAGCATTGATTTAAATAGAACGTTAGGAATTTGGAATCATCTTCTATTACTATCATTTAATGAAGATCCATGTGACTCATCTGTAATTGAATAAATTTTGAAAGAAGAAACAGGAAGTTCAATACAATGAAAGATAAGCTACAATTTTTCTCCCAGTACGCACTAGACCCTATGCTGGGCACTGGCAATGCAAAGTCAAATAAGATCAGATCTTTACTCTGAAGAAGCTCACATTGACAGAGAAGAAGGCAAAGCCACACTTTACATCTCTAACATTCCTTTTTTGCAGTTTCCTCTTCCGCAGTCTAGAAAGTCTGTGGCAGTTGACACTCACATCCCTACATCTCCAAGTCTAATAAAAAGTATGCTGCAATAAATAAATTCATAAATCCTCTCACCTCCGCCCACTCCCCCACTCTTACTCTTCACTTTAACCATGAGTTGTCATCTTTGGTCTTTCAGGTGGGCTCAGCATTCTGATATCCAGGTCCCTTGTCGGGCTGACCCACATCCATCCTTAAAGTGACAGCTCTGCTGTTATTTCACTCCGAGACATCTGTTCTGACTCTGCCTAGAGACTGCATTCCTCCTTCTCTGTTTCTTCATAGTATCCCCAGTCTGTCTCAGTGACAAGCATCTACCATGCATATGATGGCCATTTTCTTTTTTTCCTGATTTTAAATTTTAGTTTTAATTTTTGTGGGTACATAGTAGGTACAGATATTTATGGGGCACATAAGATGTTTTAATATAGGCATGCAACGCATAATAATCACCTCATGGAGAAGAGAGTATTCATCTCCTCAAGCGTATTTATCCTTTGTGTTATAAACAATCCAATCACCCTCTTTTAGCTATTTTTAAATGTATAATTATTATTGACTATAGTCACTCTGTTGTGCTATCAAATAGCAGGACTTATTCTTTCTAATTTCTTTTATACCCATTAACCAGCCCCACCTCCCTCTCACCATCCCCCACCCCCATATCTTTTTTTTTTTTTTTTTTTTTACCAAATACCATTACACAATTTGGTGATGGTAGGGACCATTCATCTGATCATCTCCTCAAGTAGTATTGTGCATGGACTATGGTGCACATGCGAGTCTTCACTGACAGCCATTGGTTGAGTGACCCTTTAATTTATGAGACTTTGGTCTGAATGACTTATAGCTGTTTCCACAACCTCAAGTCACCTTCTAAGATGTGAAGAAGATGTTGCAAGGTGGATAGCACATACTGCTTGAAGTCAGATGTTCTGACCTTCTCATTTGTCAGCTGTGTGTACTTGGGCAAAAAACTTAGCTTGAGGCCTTGGTTTCTTCATGCCACAGAAGTTATAGAGAGTCTTGGGGACGTTTCGAGGATAAATTGGATAATGTATAAATGGTATGACACATGGTACGATTACTTATTATTGTTATCTAATTGGGATACACATACCCTGTAAAAATAACTTCAAGATTTACTGAAATATTTGAACTGATGGTCATTTTCTATGTATATGTCAGCCTCTCTCATTAGCTGGTAAACACCTCAATGGCAGGGGCTCTATCTTTTCATCTTAGTGTTTCTAGAGCTGAAAGCAATACCATATGCCAACTAGTGTCCTTGGGAATGAGTAGATGACCAAATAAAGCATGTACAGATGTGCCTTAGGAATATGGAAAAGCTACGGATTCCAAAAATCTGGGGTGAACACAATAGCTAAATGTCAATATGCAGAAATGGTTGGGAGAGGAGGTTATACTGAGCTGGAACTTGTATAGCATAGAATTTTCAAGAGAGATGCTAGGGGGAAGAGGGCCAAGAATTGTCTGATGAGTGAGAGCAAAAAGAAACTGGGAGGGTTTTAAAGAGGGAAGCAAGGTGGTCATGACAACCTTTTTGGGTAGTAACTCCATTAATAGTGTTAATGACAGGTTAGAGACAAGGCTGTACTTGTAGTAGTGAAAATTTAGTTGGCATCTGCTAGATACAAAGTACCCTACTACCTTCTCTGCCTATATTAATTAATGCCGTAAACTTTCAGATTGCCCCACAAGACAGACTTTGTCACCACCATTTTACAGGCCATACAATGTTGGGTTGGGGGAAGTTTCCAAGTCCTCAGAGCTCAAAAATGGCAGACCATGGCTTCAAATTAAGGTCTGACCCCAAAGCCAGGTCCTCAGTACTTCCCTGCCCCTGACTTTTTGTCAGCATGAGTCTTACTGCTGAATGTGGGGGTGATATCGTATGATTCTTGATGACTGGTTTGAGGAAAAGTTTTCCCTTTGAGAATTTGTGTCAGTCCATATAGACTTTGGATGAAGGCATGTTGACTGTTCGCTCAAAGCCAACATCATTACAAGGCAGTGTGCATTCTCAGACTGGAACAAACACCCATGAATATAAATGTGGTAGAAGCAAGGAACTCCCTGATCAGGACAAATTATCAGGCAATATTCTTTCTTCTTTATCTTTATGCTTCCAACATAGCATCTTATAAAAACTGGAGGGGAGGTTTCTTTCTGGCCAGCTATGTAACAATGAGCTGCAACATTTGGATGGAGGAGATATTTCTCATAAACTATGTAAATGAGGTGGAACTTGGAAGACCACAGTCAGGCTCAGTCTGAGAAAGGGTACTCTCCCTCTCTTGCAATCCCCAACTCTAATTTTTACCATCCCAAAGACCTTGTAGAGCACACATTTAATCACACATCCTCGCACCCCAAAAAGGAACCAACTTCCCCAAAATCTACATTTCTTCTCCTTACTAATGTCAGAAGACCATTTGCTTTTCTTCAGAAGCTACCCTGGGGCCCCACCTTGCACACCAGGCTTGGATTGTAGCCATGCCCTCTCCATGGAACACTTGCTGGATAAAGTAATTACACTTCATTTTAAGCATAGCTCCTGTGGGACTCAGAGGAGAAAAATACTTAGCACTTGAGCATCAGGGATCATGCCTGTCAGGAACACCCCCGGCAAATGCAGAATCCTGGTTGGCATCATGCCCAGTCTGTCCACAGCTGCCCAAAGGCAGGATCTAGGAGGCTGGTGGTTAACAAGTGCAAGGTTTTGTTGCTGATGAGACCGTAGAGATGTGAGACATCATTACAAAACAGTGTGCATCCACCTGAGAGGTCTAATTCACTTCACCAAAACCACGCTCAGACCTGTCCATAGAAGTAACTGCAATCAAGTGACCCTCAAGCATATGTAGTCATAAGATTATGCCCTCATCCACATCTGAAGTATGTGCCTAAATACGCACCTTCCTTAAAACCGTGAAATGCTAGCCTTAAGAGCTAGAAGCTTGTAAGAATATTCCTAATCTTCTGGGCGAGTGGTCTCCAACTATTAATGATTTGCATGCTTATCTGTAAAACCATTCTTGAGTATAAAACCCCAATATATGTATATTTATTTATAAATACTATACATGTACAATTATCCTCATATATAATATGCATTACAAATATAGAAAAAGGTTTTTTAAAGAGAGAGAAGGATATAATAATCCATGTTTTAAAAATAGATATTTTATATATTAATAGATCACATAACATTTTGGGTTTTTTTCTGAGATGGAGTCTCGCTGTGTCACCCAGGCTAGAGTGCAGTAGCACAATCTCAGCTCACTACAACCTCCACCTCCTGGTTCAAGCAGTTCTCCTGCCTAGGCCTCCCAAGTAGCTGAAATTACAAGTGCCCGCCACCACTCTCAGGTGATTTTTGAATTTTTGGTAGAGATGGACTTTCACCATGTTGGCCAGGCTCGTCTCAAACTCCCAAACTCAAGTGATCCACCTGTCTCAGCCTCCCAAAGTGCTGGGATTACAGGCGTGAGTCACCATGCCTGGCTGATCACGTAGCATTTTTGTTCTCCCAAAAAACATTAGAGTGGTTCCAAGTTCTGGTTTTAGTTTATCCTAATTCAATATGAGACTTTAGTGGTGAGCATGGATAAACGAGATGCTTCCCAAAAACATACTGATCTAGAAAAAAGGGAAGAGTATCCTAGGCTTGCTGAATAGGTGATGATTTTTATCCTCATTTTTCAAGCTTTTTAACAACTCAACAAGGGTCTATTGGATGTGTTATTTTGAAATATTTTGTTAACGGTGATTATTTTGTGTAAGACTGTCAATATCTCAAGGCCCAATATCCATTTAGAATAAGGTGCATTGTAAGTATTTATGCTTACAAGTCTATATATCAAATAGTTTTTAAAATATAACTAAATCACTCTCTACTTATTGTTAGATAGATTAGCTTATCATCTTTAATTTTTACTGTGTGTATCAATAGGCTTTTGTAAGAAGTAGGATAAATGTGGTTGGTTCTGGCATTTCCTGGTATTTAGTATGCTTCCATTATTAATATTATCTTCAATTCATGATTCATCATGGTATTAGACATTTTTCTATTTGTCTTTTCCTAACTCTTCATAACCAACGATATGAGGCTTAGTGAAGTTAAAACTAGAAATCAATTTAGAGCTGTATGTAACTGGCCAGTTGCACACTGCAGTATTTTGCAATGTCAGTCTGTGTTACAAACTCCCTCTTTGCTCTTGAGACCTAAGTTACTGAACGGGATTCTGCCATACAGAAACAGCAAGGTCCTCCACATCAATCTGGATTCTAATTATTAGTGAAGCTTGATTTCCATTTTTTTTTTCTTTTTCACCAAAGCAATTGTAAATAGACGTTCTAATACTTTCTTTCCACATCCTGATGGCTGTCTTGTGCACCCTGGGGAGAATGCAGCCCACTTTGCACCTTAAATAATAAAATAATATAAAATAATACATGATTTTGAATGAGAGAAACTTAGCTTCAGCTCCTCACTCTGCTATGTTAGAGCTATGTACTGTTCTACTTCCCTAATCCCAAGTTATCTATCTGGTAAATGAAGATAATACTGCTTAGTTCTACGGTTTGTTATGAAAAGTCAGGAAAAGACAAACAAGAAAAATGTCTAATACCATGATGGAAACCTGACATTATCAAAATCGCTTGCTTTTCTTGTAAACGTGAACCTGAAAAGCAGAGTGGAGTGGTGCCAAAGGAGCTCCTGAAGCAGTAGCACAGCCTGGACTCAGGAGTACTGGCCCCAAGCCCAGGGCTCCTATCAATATACAATGTGACTTCTGATCAAATGAGAGGTGGACCAATGGCAAGAGGACTTCCAGAAGGATGCACAGACCTTTGCCTCATTAAAGCTCAGCCTCTGTGAATGCTGCCCAAAACCCCTCCTCATATGCCTCCTTCCCTGAAACAGAAAGCTGATCTCAGAACCATTTCCCATTCTTCTCACTGCCTGGAGTTCAGGTCACCTGCCAAAACCACTCAGCCTCACTGAATTTCATCCTTAAGTAAGTAGGGGCCATAGCACACAAGAGGCACTTGAAGCATTAAACTCAGGGTTGTCTTTTCACAACTGGAGTCTAATCTTGGAGGTAGATTATTAAAATGTACATTGAGTCTTAGTCTTCTATCTAGAGATGGTATCTATTTCTTCATTTTAAAGCTGGACTGGCCTTGTGACTTGCTTTGGTCAGTGGAATGTATTAGAAAAACAACTTTATGCAAATTCCAAGACTGAACAACAGGAGATTTTGTGTATTTCCCCTCTTGATAGCCCAAGCCTGCTGGAGGATGAGAGGCCACAAGGAGAACCACAACAGCCCAGCTGGGAGCCCCAGACCTGTGAGCGAGCCCAGTGAGATCATCCAAGCCACATCTAACTCAGTAGAACCGCCCAGCTGAGCCCAGTCCAAACTGCTTACTCATGAGCTAAACTAAGTTGTTGTTTTTAAGCCATTAAGTTTTAGAAAAGTTCGTTATGCAACAAAAGCAAATGGATAGATACCCCTTGTTTTCTGTACTAATTTGCGCTGTTAATTGGACACTTAATTCAATTTCTATTAACTTTGCTTTTTGTGTGTCAGTAACATGTCAAAAGTAGTAGCAATCATCATGAAGACATGTAGTTCACATCTGTGTTTGGTTTCTTATATAACCATTTCACATCTTGATTACTTACAATGAGCCTTGGAGGTAAGTCTATCATGAGGATTTACTGATATCACCTGCACGTGAAATGCCAAATTCAGACTGCATCCTCAAAAAGATGAAAGCATTATACTTCAGTTATATGAATTGATGTTTGCAAATACCAACCTTATCAGTTTTTGAAAGATCTAGGCACAAGTGTTACAATACGTGGTTTTGAAGTAATGGCCTGCATCAGCATCAGTATTGAACACACTGACTCCTTTTTACCACAGCTACACAGGCAAGCTTCATTTTCCATCAATTCACTTCCCGTTAAAATTGACATATGTATTAGAAAGAGCCACCAAGAAGAGAGTAGGTAGAAGGGAGTGCAGGGGGAGGAGATGAATTAGCACTTTCTAGTCTCTGTCAATATGTGGTTTATTTTCAGATGCAATAAAGGTTTGGATTTTTGACTTGGCAAGAAAACACAATGAAAATCTTTTCTTCGTTAGTCCCAAATTTCCTATAATCTGACTTCCCCACCTCCACCTTCTTCCACGGAAAGAAACAAACAACACACACACACACACACACACACACAAATTGTAAAGCATACTTACCCTCTCTGAAAGAGATCCACATTATAAAATTTATGTAGCTCTACCGAAAACTCAACCGTTCCTTGTATTTCAGACATGATCTTTTTGGCTCATTACCTGAAAAACAAGAGAGAAATTAACAGTTTGAGATCACATCAGCCACTCAGAAAGAACCTGGCTTTTACAACAGGAAACCAATCTGACCAACAGGACCAACAGGAGTAGCGTGTGTCCACTGAACGTCACCACTCAGGGTTCCTTTTATGGAAAAAGACACAGAGAGACAAAATGACTTGCCTACTGTCACAGCTTCTACCTGGAAGGGCCAGGAGTTAGACCCAGGTGTCCTAACTCCAAAGCTGAGCTGGTCCCCTGCCCTTTCCTATCTGTCAGTACCATGGAGACAACAACATCCCGGCCGAGAGCACATCCTTCATGGCCAAAGGCACAAGAATCCTTGCTCTACCGCTTTCCAGCTGTGTGACCTTGAGCAAGTCACTTAACTTCTCCCATCTTCAGTGTTCTCATCTGTAACGTGAGGACTGGTAATAGCACATAACATTGATAAATGGTGGAAAGAGAGAATAAATATGCCACATTGAGCACTCTGCACGGTCATTTGTGTAGTAAATACTGAATAAGTTTTTGCTACCATTGTTAATAATAATTTAAAATGATTTTATCATTGATATTATAAATGCAGTCTCTAAAGACTGAAGATGGCTGGAGCAATATCAAGCGTGGCACATAGAGCATGTGGGTGCTGCTGCCAGGTAGATGTTTAACCCAACTTGACAGGTTGCTAATTTTCCAATTAGCTGTTACTGGGGGTCAGTAACAAGATGGTTGAATGGAAAAGATGGGAGGAAAAAAACATTAAAACAGTCCAAGTCTAGGATGAGAAATAAACCGAGAGGTACATTTAAAGCAGGTTGGGTTTTCTGAGAATATGAAAGCATCTAGATACCAGGAATGTGATGAAAGGGAAAGAAGCTTAGTTGTATTGGGCACCTACTATATTCTTGGTGTTGCATAAAGTATTCCATGTAAGTTGCCTGATTTTTTCCAACAAGAATTTTGTATTATTCTTGCCCCATTTTGCATGCAAGAAAAAAGGACCAGAGAAGCTCTGACCTGGAGCCACTTTCTAACTCTGGAATGTGCTGGTGGTGTGGCCTTTGGTAAGATCCTCCCATTCTCCAAGCCTGTTTACTACCACAAACAACAGGGATAATGCAAGATACTGAGTAGACTCCCGATAGGATAAGAGGTAATGACTTGCAATATACCTGGCACCTAGCAGGATCTCAAGACCTGGTATGACCTCTGGGAAGGGAGAGAATGAGAGAGAAGGAGGAGAGGGGAAAGGAAGGGAACACATGGCTCTGTCACCTGGCAACTGGTGATTCACACTTGGGTCTCCTTCCAAAGCCCCTCTTACTGCCCCCAGATGCCTCAGGGACCAGACCATTCTTGTGGTTCAGAGTGCAACCTCACTGCAGTTAACAGGGTCAGGCTAGGCCAGATCCCACAGATAACAGCAGGAGGATTAACTGGGCCTTAACTGCATCTCAGCTCAGGCAAATGTTTCATCCGGGAAATATTTCTAGAGATTCAGAAGGCTGCATACCAAATTAAAATCCTCAGAACCAACCTCTATAAATTCTGCAAGACAGAATTTCAATCTGGCAAACATGGAAAGGCCTGGCTCACAAAATGTGCCAAAAACCCATTTCCCAATGAAGAGCCATGGAGGTGCACCCTGGCCCTGCCCAACACACCCGAGCCAGTCAAGGTCAGAACCCGAGGCTCAATTTTAATCCCAAGTCATTTCCAATCAAAGCCGGATGGAGGGGCAAGCAAATGGAAGCCACCCTGTGCTTCCCTTCATAATCACATTAAACATCAACAGCTGCATTGTCCTCATTTTCTCATCACCCCACTCAGTCTGAATCCTGCAAAAACTCAGAGCTGGTAAAACCATGTGACTCCTTTCTTGGGGTTGTCGGCTTTCCATTATCCCCAGTTCCCCTCCTGATCTCTGATCCTGGGGAGGAGAATATCTAGAAAGAGAGACAAAGGGAGAGCAGGAACAATGCACCCCAAGAGTGCCAGCCTACCATCTACTACACACTGATGGGGGTTCCATGCATGACTTCACACAATCCTCAAAAGCCCTCTGCATGAGTAGTATTGGCCCCGAGCCACACAGACAGTGGTGCTGTTCAGGCAAAGAGTGCCTATCCAGGAGCCTGGGTTTTCCATCTCCTGCACTTACTGGCAGAATGGCTGGGACCATGTTTTGGGGTAGAGTTAATATTTAGAAGACAATATTTAACGCATGGAGAATACCACACAGAACATTCTTTTCTCCTTGAAAGATGCACCATACCATGCTGTTGTTCAGGATGAATGGGATAGAGTTTTGGAACTTGTAAACACAGACACAGCTTCTTGGTGGGAAATTGCCTTTTCCTTTAAAATAGCATGTTAGGCATTATAACCAAACACCCATAATGCAGTGAGGAAGATGAGTTCCCATGTAAAATAATTTTGGTTTTTGTTTGTTTGTTTGTTTGTTTTTGAGATGGAGTCTCGCACTGTCACCCAGGCTGGAGTGCAGTGGCTCCATCTCGGCTCACTGCAAGCTCGCCTCCCCAGTTCCCACCATTCTCCTGCCTCAGCCTCCCGAGTAGCTGGGACTACAGGCACCCACCACCACGCCTGGCTAATTTTTCGTATTTTTAGTAGAGACGGGGCTTCACTGTGTTAGCCAGGATGGTCTCGATCTCCTGACCTCGTGATCTGCCCACCTCGGCCTCCCAAAGTGCTGGGATTACAGGCATGAACCACCATGCTCTGCCCCATGTAAAATACTTTTAAAACTCTGTGTTGATTTTGCTGGTAACATCCTTGGTCCACTTTGTGGTCAGAAATCTAGAGCCATTTGTCTTGGTCCCAACCTTCTCCCCTTCTCTTTCCATCTGAAGATTAGTGGGAAGCTATCAGAGCAGTGGTTTTCAGGTGTGGTCCTCAGACCAGTGGCATCAGCAACACTGTGTTATGAAAACCAAGTCTTGAGTCCCACACCAGACCTACTCAGTCAGAAACTCCACAGGTGAGTTTCAGGGATCTGTGTTTTCACAAGTTCCCCAGGGAATTTAGGTGCAAACACTAATTTGAGAACCACTGGCCTAAAGACAAGGGTTTTAGCATTAACCAGACCTGAGTTAACTTGGTTTCTTGTGAGCTGCATGACCTTGGATCCATTCCTTAACTTCTCTGTCCCTCATTGCTAAGAGGTGAAGAGCAAGAGTACCTACCCTATAAAAGTGTCTTCATGATCAGTAGGGAGACAGCATTCAAAGTGTTTAATATAGTGTCTGGCATATTGTTGGAACATACTTATGACATATGCAAACAATAGACCCATGACACATACCTAACACACACATCACACTCATACACACAAACACACAGATACATACAATATGCATTGATAAAACACACACACACAAATCTTCATCACACACACAAGATGCCCATGACACATACCCAGCACACACTGGGTGCTGAAAAGACTGTCCAGGAAAGTCCGTTCTCTGCCTCTGTAGGACTGAGTTCAGGTGCAAGTTTCTGAGAATGTATCGTGATGAGTGCAGTGAGAAGTGTCAGCATACATCATGCTCAGGAAGAGGGCAGGACATGATTCAGATCTCCATCTCCAGCACATCAGCAACCACACCTTGGGTAGACCAATTTTCCCCAGTATTTGTTCCAAGAACCTCCCACGAAACATCAGAAAAACCAGCACTCACCCCCAACATGAGCATGTACCATACACACAATATACCCAACCCGAAATACACCGGCACCATGTGCACACACACCACAGACATCTTCTCTGCACTAACTTCCTACTACAACCAGTGCCACCCACCATTCTAGTGAATTCAGTCATTCTGCTGCATTTGGTGTGCCTCTGAAAAGCTCACCTTCAAACCTGTACTTCCTGAAAGCTGTGTGTCCAGGCACTCTGGCACTCTAAAGCACATGATGCTTACGAGCAGACCTTGCCCTCATGATGCTCAGGGACTGGGAAAGGGTGATCCAGTGACAATCACAATGACAGTGATGACGGCTCAGGAAGAGGGGGGACCTGGGTCTTTGGCACTCAGGTACGGCCTCCCTGGGAAGGCTGGCTTCTGAATGAGGAGGCCTTTGCCATGCCTCAGTCTAGGGTCATCAGTGCAGATCTGTTCTGTTCAGAAAGTGAAGAGAGTAACCACAGCAGGTCATCTCAACCTCAGCTCACCTGAAGTCGGCACACCTGCCCTTGGTACTGCCCTTCACTGTGTAACCTCCCTGGAACCCTAGTTACTGCCTGGTCCTCACTCAGGCAGCAACACCCACAGCTTACACCTGCGTACAGACAGTTTGCCCCTGGTGCACCACATTTTAGGCAAACATGCCTAGAGAAGAGGATGGAGGGAGGGGCAGGATGGGAAGGCCCCTGAAGCCTATGTCTAGAGATTAACACAGGCATCATCAGATTAGCCTTCCTTGTGGACACTGGAGAGAACAGCCTATCTCTAAAGCAATATACATACAGGCTCCAGAACCAGACGCCTGGGTCTCAATGGCCCTGGGTGACCTTGGAGTCATTATTATCTTCCTGGGCCTCATTTTCCTTGTTTGTAAAGTGAGGACAATAATAATACCTACTTCCTGGAGTACTGCAATAATTAAAACTATTAACATACATAAGGCACTCAGAATAGAGACTGGCATGTAATAACCTTTCAATACGCGCAGACTATGTTTAGCTTTGTTACAGAAGACATAACTAGGAGACAGGGTAAAAGAAAATGCAGTGAAATTACAGCCTTGTTTGGTTTTCACTCACTAAAAAAAAAATCTTGATCAAGTGCCCCTTACTGACCTGCCCTGTGCTGGGAGCTTTCTAGCCATCCCAGCTGCCCAACAATGGACCAGTCCACGTTATGAAGCAATGAACTCCCCCCATCACTGGGAGTATGCAGACAAAGGATGAGGTCCCACTTTTCTGGCATTTAAACCCTGCCTTGAGTTTAAATGACAATTAAATTCCCCTTGTCCACAAGGTTCTAAGATCCCATTACCTTCGGGCAGGCAATGTTTGTATTTGATTGATGAGGAAAAAAAGAGGCAGAGGTTAGGCTAGAGGACCAGAAGGTGATGTCACAAAACCTCAGTTCAGATTTGATTTCTGCCACTTAATAGGTTGACTAGGACATCACTTCATCTCTTTGAGTCCATGTTGTGGGAAGTCAGGGACCCCAAATGGAGGGACCGGCTGAAGCCATGGCAGAAGAAAGTGGATTGTGAAGATTTCATGGACATTTATTAGTTCCCCAAATTAATACTTTTATAATTTCTTATGCCTGTCTTTACTGCAATCTCTAAACATAAATTGTGAAGATTTCATGGACACTTATCACTTCCCCAATCAATACCCCTGTGATTTCCTATGCCTGTCTTTACTTTAATCTCTTAATCCTGTCATCTCGTAAGCCGAGGAGGATGTATGTCGCCTCAGGACCCTGTGATAATTGCGTTAACTGCACAAATTGTAGAGCATATGTGTTTGAACAATATGAAATCTGGGCTCCTTGAAAAAAGAACAGAATAACAGCAATGTTCAGGGAATAAGAGAGATAACCTTAAACTCTGACCACTGGTGAGCTGGGCGGAACAGAGCCATATTTCTCTTCTTTCAAAAGCAAATGGGAGAAATATTGCTGAATTCTTTTTCTCAGCAAGGAACATCCCTGAGAAAGAGAATGTGCCCCTGAGGGTGAGTCTCTAAAATGGCCCCCTTGGGTGTGGCCGTCTTCTATGGTCGAGACTGTATGTAGGGACGAAATAAGCCCCAGTCTCCCGTAGCGCTCCCAGGCTTATTAGGAAGAGGAAATTCTCACCTAATAAATTTTGGTCAGACCGGTTGCTCTCAAACCCTGTCTCCTGATAAGATGTTATCAAATGACAATGGTGCCTGAAACTTCATTAGCAATTTTAATTTCACCCCTGTCCTGTGGTCCTGTGATCTCGCCCTGCCTCCATTTGCCTTGTGATATTCTATTACCTTGTGAAGCATGTGATCTTTGTGACACACACCCTATTCGTACACTCCCTCCCCTTTAAAAAAAATCCCTAATAAAAACTTACTGGTTTTGCGTCTTGCAGGGCATCACACAACCTATTGACATGTGATGTCTCCCTCGGACGCCCAGCTTTAAAATTTCTCTCTTTTGTACTCTGTCCCTTTATTTCTCAACCCAGCTGATGCTTAGGGAAAATAGAAAAGAACCTACGTGACTCTTGGGGCAGGTTCCCCAGTAAGTCCAGGCTTCTGCATCTGTACTTGGAGGGAAACACCTACCTCAGAGGATGATACAGAATGGTAACTAATTAAACTGACTTTTGTAGAGTATTAAAAATGTTCTCATTGTCAATAGGATATTGTTAAAGTACAGAAAAATATTTTGGAAACATAGCATGTTACTTTTCTTCCTTGAAGAAGGAGATGACTGGGCTATAAGCCCCTAAAAAGGAGTAATTGTCTGTTTATGAATTTCTAAGCACTCCATTCCTAACCTGGCATCTGGTAAGTAGTAGAGGTTCACAAATACTATGGAACTAAGGAATAAATGGTAACACCAGACAACAGACTCTAGGCCAGAGTGTGAATATGGAAGAGGAACAGAATTCAGCAAGGAAAACAAAGCAACAGAAACTAAGACCGGAGGCTCTAAGGGTTGAAACAGTGATGTTGGTTATGGCAGAAAAAGCAAGTTCTTTGTCATTAGAGGTATCCGAAAAGGGGCTGTCCAAGAAAGCCCTTTCTCCACTTCTGTCGGGCTGAGTCCAGGCACAGGGTTCTGAGGATGCACAGTGATGAGTGCACTGAGAGGTGTCAACATGCATCATGCTTAGGAGGAGGGCAGGACATGATTCAGATCTCCATCCACAGCACATCAGCAACCACACTCTGGGTAAACCAGTTTTTCCCAACATTTGTTCCAAGAACTTCCCACAAAAGAACAACCTGGGAAAATTAACAACAACAACAACAACAACAACAACAACAACCCCAGATTATTGTGTCCTACACTCAGACCTCCTAATCAGGCTCCAAGACAGGATCTAGGAACACAAAGGCTAAAGTCTGAGCCTGCTGCTGCATCTGCCTGTAATGCCAGCTCTGGCAAAAAAAAAACTGCACATGTAGCTGATAGCTGAGCCAGGGACTAGCAGAATGCATCTATGCCCCATTTGTGTGGCCGAAAGAGGACAAGAAATCACTTCTGAGAAGAAATATGAGCTGATTGTTTTGTCAAAAATCAAATTCCTTTTCTTTTAGAGCTACAAAAATTGTCTAGATTTACGAAGTACCATGTAAAATGCAGAGAGTCTAGGTGGCACCTGGAATGGAGCCTCTATAGTCTCTCTCTGTGTGTTTGTGTGTGTGTGTGTATATGTGTGTATGTAGGTCAGGTTTTGGGATAGACCAGCCAGGATCCAGATATCAATGTTACAATCTACCTAAAGTTACAAAACTCCCTAAACCTCAGTCTCCTCCTCTGTAAAACAACGAATAAATCTTTATCCCCAACAGGTAACACAGAAGGTTGACAACAGATGTCAGACCCAGCCCTTCCATAACACGTAAAGTCGAAGCCACCTAGAATAAATGTTAATATATCTAGTTAATTGTATGAGTGTTTCATTTTGAATTTTCTTTTTACTCTCATCATCATATTTCACTGAGCCTTTTCTTTTGGCATGTGTGTTGGTTTCCCTCCAGTTTTTCATCATCATTATCCAGAATGGTGTATTCAAAGACATTCAAAACTAGGCAACATGGTAGGGATGGGGGGAAGTCTTTCTTCTCTATTCCAAAATTGTGACCTGCAGGTCTTTCTCCCAGTAACAGGGCAAGGAGATGGCATTCCCCCTTGCATTAAAGGAATCTGGAGAGACCTCAAAATTGTGGAAGACTGTCGTCACTTACCCGGTTGTCTGGGCATCAACTGGGTTCAGCCTTCAGTCCTTATTTTTTTGCTTGTTTTGTTTTGTTTTGTTTTGAAATGGAGACTCACTCTGTCGCCCAAGCTGGAGTGAGGTGGCATGATCTCGGCTCACTGCAACCTCCGCCTCCTGGGTTCAAGTGATTCCTGGCTAATTTTTATATTTTTAGTAGAGACAGGGTTTCACTGTGTTGGCCAGGCTGGTCTCGAACTCCTGACCCCAAGTGATCCGCCCACCTCAGCCTCCCAAAGTGCTAGGATTACAGACATGAACCATTGCACCTGGCCCAGGGCCCAGTCCTTCTTCTCCCTTCCTCACAAAGACAATTAGTTGTCAGTTCTCACTATCATTAGCTCCTCAAATTCAACTTCTTATCTCCGCCTCCAAAGCCATCACCCTAGGAATGCTGATCAGCATCCTCTTTCCTGAATATTCCCACCTCTTCCATGTGCCTCTCTCTGCTCCAGCTTCATCACCTTCTGTGTATTCTCCACCCTCTCACTGCAGAGGCAGATCTCGAGCACCAAGAAGCTCAAGTTCTGCTTATCTCAAAAGTTTTCAGTGGTTTCTCTGGCCCTTACCATGATTCAAGAGGCATTGTATACTCCATCAACTTCTTACTTCTCCAGGCACAATGCTTTATCCTCCCTCCCATGCCAAAACTGAGCTTTAATCTATTTCCTTTAGTTCCACAACATGTGATCTTTCAAAGATTCCATCTCTGTACAAAGTACCACGGAGAACATCAATGCATTAGGGTGGCACTGAGGATTAAAGATAATCACATATATAAAGAGCTTCAGTCATTGCCTACAAAACTGTCAGTCACTCATCATCAGTAGCAATCACTATTTTTATTTCCACCTTCAACATAGATGGCAGAAATTCAAAAGGTCCCTCATATCCAGACCTAAAGAACTAGGCCCCCATCTTAACTTTAGAGGTTCTGGCATTTGTAGATGCCTGAGTAAATGTTTGCACTTTTCATCACAATATACCAAAATGTTTAATTAGTTATTTACATTTTTTAAATGTACTAGAGCATTCTCAGTTGCCTCTGAGAATGTTGGATAAAATATTAAAACTGTTTTGAAGAAATATCATAATTCCAATACCTCATTAGATTTTGCTTGGGAAAAAATTATTTCACAAACATGTTTTCTTTTGAAATGCAATTTTTCTTTAAAACGTGAATCTTCAGAGTATATGGTCTTTGAAAGATTAAATGATAATAATTTGATCTAACTATATATCAGCATTTACTTTATGAAAAGGGAAAACATTACTGTTCTCAAACGATTGTGTATTACAGAATTGCACTATAGGAGATGGGAAAGGCTCAGGAAGAGACCTCTCATGTACAGAGGAATATTGTGAGAATAGAGAAGGGATCTACCTCAGTCTGTTTTCTGCTGCTATAACAGAATACCACAGACTGTATAATTTACAAAGAACAGAAGGTTATTTGGCTCATGGTTGTGGAGGCTGGGAAGTCCAAGAGCAGAGCATCTGGTGTTCCCCTGTCCATGGTAGAAGGACTGAAGGCACAAAAGAACACTGAAGACAGAGAGGAAACTGGACCAAACTCCCTTTCATAACAAACCCAGTCTGGAGATAACTAACCCACTCCCTCCATAACACCATTACTCTATTCATCTTTTAAAGGTTCCACATTTCAACACTGCTAATAACAATGAAATTTCAATGAGTTTTGGCAGAAATCAGAGCAGGATACCAGAGCACACATGACCTAGCAAGTTCTTGAGATAGCCATACTCAAACCCAGATTACCCTGTGAGAATGTGCTGCCTTTTCTCTAGGGTCCAAAAGAAGCAGCAGAAATTACTCTCGAAAGCATGTATCTGCATTCAGTGATGTCCTTCTCCCCAGGGGATTTACTGCATGCAGCCATTCTAACAACGTAATAACTCTTGTTGCCTACCGTGATCACTGCAGGGAATATCTGCTCAGTGTTCCAGGCAAACAATCTTATTAGAGATGGAAAACTGGCACTTCTTCATTAAGAAGGGAGGATCCCCTAAGCACTCTTTCTTGCTGTGAGAGCATCTCATCCACATTTGACTCCCAATCTTGGGTCTCACTTCTGTGTGGAAACTTGGACAAGTCACATAACATCTCTAAGCCTGTTTACATGCAGAATTGGGGCCAACTTCTCATAGCAGGGACACAGGAAATCTGAGCCATCGACCTGGGCCATTGGAAGACACAGATAGGACCTGAGCAGAGAAAGTCAAGTCACAACTGTGGTCCACAAGGATAAATACCCTGACATAAAGATGCACAAAGAAGGCAGGAGCACCTACTGGTGGTGGCTGAGACCCACTGGGTCAGCCTTCTGGGAGCTGGCCAGTCCAAGCAATACAGAGGCCAACCCCTCAGCAGCTGTGCAGTCTTGGAGCAAGAATTTAATCTCTCTGTGCCTCAGTTTCCCCAACTGCAAGTTGCTTTGGAGTCTGGCATATGATAAATGCTTAATAAGTATAAGCTAGTATGATAAAGAAGCAAACCTAAAAACAGTTCTGTAGCAATGGCAGGAGAGGAATGATAATCCCCTTCCACCAATGAGTTACCTACACCCTCACCAACTCTGAGGTTCTTCAGGGCCTCCCTGCTGATTAGGAGCAGAGGGGAGGCTAGAAATCACATCTCTGACCCTCACCTACCATAGAAAATGCAGCCCCAGGCATTCACCCCCTTAATGTTGAAAAGTATTTTCTTTCCTTCAATATAGAAATCAAAACCGGCTGTGTATGTTTGCTTTTTTTTTTTCACATCTGAAGACAGTGCAAATAGAAGCATCCCACACAATGCCAAGTTCCTGTTTTCTTTGAGATTCTATGTCCCCCTTAGCTTAGGCAGCATTTTAAAATCCAGGCTTGCAGGCACATAAGATTTCACAATCTCATAAAAAGATAACTGACTCATAAACTCAGGCAGAGGGCTTGAAGTACCAAAGATGAGGAAGCTCTATTAAGGGAGCAGCAGCCAATGCCATCACTATTTGCAGCTCTCAGGCATGGAGCCTTTTCCCTTTCTGCCAGTGCTGGAAGCTCTGGTGACACTCACTGAGAAGTCAAACTTGGGACCACAGTGAGTGGCAATTTCTCTCTCTTTCCACTTACTGAAACACATGCACACAAACAGACTCCTAAGTGTGTGTGTGTACATAAGCACATACAACAAGGAGCATACTGTCTCCAAGTTCTTTTTTTGGAGAGGCAATGTCAAATCATGGAAAGAGCAGGGGCTTCAGGGCTGCCAAATCTGGTTCACATTCTGACCATTTTACGGGTTACCCTAATCGAATTTTAGTGCTCCCATTTTCCACATCTGTAATCCTACTATAGTAATATCTATCTACTTAGTAGTGATTCACTTTTGGGAAGATCAACATAAATGTATATTTTTTTTTAGTAACATTATGGCTTTTCAATATATAGTGTATAATGCTAATATTAGAATAACTAATAATAACAATAAAACATCTGTATGTTGTGCAATAAAAATTTTGCATAACAAAGATGAGCTTAAATATTCAAAGAAATCCAGCCTGGAGTGAACCACAGGATAACCTGGATGAAGCTGAGTTGCTAGGGAAAGACATAGGCAACGTCCAGGGCCCAGGTACCAGGACTCCAAGCTTGGGGGAAGCATACTGGATACCGAGCCCACAGCCAACAAGGCTGGTTCAGATGTAGGTTCCCATCTTCTCTGGGACCTGAGGGAGACAGAAGTTGCATCTCTCCTCCTTGAGAAACTTAATTCAGACAGGGAAGAATAGCACCTCACATTCATTGAGGTTGGGGGAGGTTTCAATGCAATAATAGACATAACTTGAGAGCAAATACACCTTCCCTGAAAGGCACTGATTCCCTGTCCCTGGAAGAACGTCGCAGATGCCAAGTCTGCCCCAGGAGCTGAAGACGGGATTCCTGCTTTGGGATTGAGCCTTGAGTAGACATCCTCTATGCTTCCTGACAGTCTTGAGAGTCTATGAATATCACACCATCTAATTTTAAGGTTCTGCATTTATTAATGGCTATAAATGTTTCAAGAGCATTTCATTTGCAGAACGGCAGTGCACCGCACCCAATTCAAGTTGAATCACATGAAGGCATCAGCAGGCTTAGTATCAGTGGTGAGTGGTGTCTCTGTAGTGACCCCTTTGAGGTCAGTAGCACCATATGGGTTTCTTTCTTTTTTTCTTTTCTTTTCTTTTCTTTCTTTCTTTCTTTTTTTGAGACAGAGTCTTGCTCTGCCACCCAAGCTGGAGCGTAGTGGTGCGATCTTGGCTCACAGCAACCTCCGCCTCCTGGGCTTAAGCGATTCTCCTGCCTCAGCCTCTGAGTAACTGGGATTACAGGTGCCTGCCACCACGCCTGGCTAGTTTTTATATTAGTGGAGATGGGGTTTTGCCATGTTGGCCAGGCTGGTCTCAAACTCCTGGCCTCAGGTGATCTGCCCACCTCAGCCTCCCAAAGTGCTGGAATTACAGGTATGAGCCACCATGCCTGGCCACTATATAGGTTTTAATACCTCACGCATCAAAGCATAGTGATCCAGTGGTCCCTACCACCACCTTGTCCACCCGCTCCTTACACAGATACGACATTTGAGGCCCAGAAAAGGGAGTGGTTTGCCCATAATCACAGAACAAATGTCCTCAGGACCCCTGTCTCCAGATTTGTAGCCCGTTGATCTTTAAATTCTTGGTGGTCAAAGTTTTTACATCCATGATTTCATCTGATCACAGAAAGAACCCCAAGAGGTTGGAAAAAAAAAGTAACAAACAACAAAATCTAACTTTAGATCTTCCTATAAGATCTAAAGTTCTGAGACACTGATGAATCTCAGTTATACCCACTTCCTTCCTCTTAACATGCAGACATCGGGTAATGGATAACATCAGGGTATCAGAACTTTAGATCTTACAGGAAGCTCAGAGATCACAGAGCTCAGGCCCTCATATTAGAGCAACAAAACACACACATGCACAAAAAACAAACAAACAAAAAAAAACAGAACATTTGCATGGTTTGGGCGGTTGTTGCACAACCATCTGAGAGAAAAACCATGACCTGAGATATCCGGGTCCTTAGAGTATGAGCTCTGCAAGACTCTGCAAAACAGACCCAGCCCTCTTTCAAGTGCAGCACTGATGCATATTTAATCTGATCATAATCTAAATCCTTAGCATGAAACAGATGCTTCCAACTCTAGGCCCTTCTTCCCTCGCTGTGTCACCACTACCACAAACAAACCCTCTCAAAATACTCTCATCAAAGTGCTCCACTACCTCTAAATATGGTTTTATTATACCTTTGTTCAAGCTATTATCTCCACTGGAGGGCCCACCTTGCACCTCTCTACCTGACAAGCTCCCCATCCTTAAATGTCCAATCTAGCTTTTCCAGGAAGCCCTCCCCGAACAGCCATGCCACCGCCCTCCCTAACAGAAGCCCCCAACCTTGCCTTGTGCATGTCAAAATAGCCCTGAATAGGTTATGCTCTGAAAGCATCTTTATTTTCAGGTTAGGCTGTGAGCTCCATAAATTGAAGGACAGCCATGGAGTCTAGCAAGAAACATGGCAGAGAATAGGTATGGAATCACATCTGTGGGACAAACAGGAGAAGGAATGAAAGACTAAACAAATGCAAGAGAAAATGCACATATGAATGACTGAATAAACCCATTACTCTCCTTTCTGATCAAAGTTTTCTGGGGCACTTGGAATCAGCTCCTACTTAGGACATTAAGACTGATAGAATTATACCCGTCTTATTTTGAATGCATCTTTGAGCTCCTTTTGTCCTCTGCATATGTCCACTGAGGAGAGGAGGGAGGTGTGTACAATTCATCGTGCCTGACAGAATCCCACAGAGAAGCCAGTGTCGGGGGAAGGATGCAGTAACGGGTGGTGTCTCAACTGCAGATGAGTCCTCTATTTATCCTTCCTGATGCCACAACATAAACAGGAGAGGAGGTGAACGCAAGATGCAAGGCTCCCACACATGAGTCAAGGCTGGCATTTCAGACATGCTATCTGTTTGTGCCCTGGTCACGGTGGTTTGGGATCCAATTTTGTTTAGCATCTGTCATTAGCTTCACAAGTGCAGCCATGACTCAGCCCACGTCACCGTGTTCCCACATTGACCACCCACAAGATGTGCAAGCCTCCATTCCCAACCTTCTCACACACTCCAAGGCCTGCCCTCCTCCCAGCCAAAATGGAAAACTAAGTAGGGACAAGATATCAAGATACGGAGGGCCTTAACGATGGTCTTAAACAATGGTTTCTAAAATTTCTCGGGAGCCAGAGGAACTAGGGTAATCCGTCTTCCCTGTGCTCTGCTTAATGCCAATCCTCCTGAGGGGCTCCTCTTTCTCCAGGGCTACAGCACCTCCAGGGGTGTGAACCTCACTGGGAAGGCCTCTCTTGAGGGTTCAGTGGTCGGCTCATAGTCTCACAGGGATATGGGGGGTTTGGGGTGAGTAAACCACAGCAGGACATGGAGAGGCAGCTCAGTGCACAGCAAAGGGCAAAGTCTGGCACCAAACTTTCATGGCCACTAGTCCTGTTCTTTATTAATCCCTGCTTTTGTGTGGTGCCTTTATTTCTCAGTTTTCTCATCTGTGCATAGGGACTCTGCACAGGATAACTGTGAAAAACCAAAGAATTTATACATAAAGTGCATAGTGTGGCACCTGGCACCCAGAGAGCACTCAGAGTAGCTGCTACTATTCTTAACGTCCTATTGTGATGGCAATAGACACTCAATGAATTGCAATTTAGAAAAAAACAATAACGCTTTCATGCAGAGTTAGAAATACCCGACCCCCTCCCTTGTAATGAATGAACAGGGTTAATTTCATATTGAATTTTTCCTTCAAAACCTGTCCTGCAGGCATAATCTTGCTGGCAAGAAGTTGCCCCAGGATGATGGAGAGGAAACCTAGAGGACAGAAGATGGATAGAGAGGATGGAAACAGGAGTGATTGTAGGCATACGTCTGGCCTGGACATATCCACTGGGAAAGGGGCCAGATCAAATCCCAGGCTCAACAAAGTTCATTCATTTGAATGATCATAGAGTATCTCCATTATTCCCAACCTCAAAAGTGTCCCTTGCTGCACTGTCAACTACTTATCTACATGTCAGTGAGGTTAACGATCTCCTCCAGCTCCTCAGATGATTCCTGAGGCTCAGGCCCAGGAGCTCTGATGTCCAGGGGTACCCAGTGTCCTCACTTTTTCTTGGACCTTCAACTGAGAGTCTTTAAAGCCAGACATGCTTTGGTTCGAATCCCAAATGCAATGTGTATTTCTGTGCAAACTGGAGGTCAGTAGCTTAATGTGGTCAGTTTTCCTTATCTGTAAAAACACACATATCTAGCAGGGAAAGGTTAGCGATTAAGGATACCTAAGTGCCATCTGGCACAAAGGGAATAGATGCATGATAGCTGATGTAGAGGTTGGTGGGATCCCAAGCATTCTGCTCTGTTTCTGTTTTCCCAGTTATTTCTATTCATAATTTATATAAAAATGAGAATGGGAGTAATAGAATAAAGGGAAGAGGAAACCACAGAGGCAAAACCTTAAACACCATGATACTGGATACTTCAATGCTTCTTTCGTTTAATCTTCAAAACTCAACATGAGAAGTCATCAAAGAACATCGTTTTTTGTGTGTGAGCGGCAACTGATGTTAAGGAAGGCCATCTCTGTGACTTAATCTCTGCATGATTCTTCTTGACACTCTGATTTTTTATTCTTAAAAGGTAATAGACACATTTGTTGGTTTGTTTCTTCCTCCTCCCTGACCATTGCTGTATAAACACCGTTCCAATCAAACTGGGTTCCTTACATTTGACAAAGGAGACCACGCCCATCCTCTGTCTTGGTTCCCATTCCCTTTGGTGCCCATTGTCCTGGCACCTGCTTCCTCCCTCTGAATCTTTTCCTAGCCGCCCAGAGGTGCCCCTCCTCTGTTAAGCCTTCCCATGCTCCAAGTTCATCCTGTTCTCCCCTGTTTTGGAATGTCCATCTTCATTGTCTATACAGCCAATGTGCCCTGCCTGGTCAGGATGCCTAAGGCACTATTCCAGGAGCTGTAGACACAGAAATGAGCCACATGGACACAATCTCAGCTCCCACACAGCTGGATGTCCGGTGCATAGCATAGCTGCCTGCATTGATACCATTCCACTCACTGCATGCAGGATTAGCTTGATGTCTGACTGTTGCAATGGGCCGGGCCTACCCAAAGTGACTGAACCCATCAAGGGTGTTATGCACCTAACATCACTTCCTCCCCTTTAGTCTGGGAGGCTAGTGGTTGCCTAGTGGTAACCTAGGCCCCATAGGCTCCATTTATTTATTTATTTATTTATTTATTTATTTATTTATTTACCCATTTGCTAAATAGATGTATTGGGGGCCTATTATGTGCCCGGCTTCCAGAGTTCAGCCTGCGGATTTGTGCAGAGAGGAAGAGGTGCAATGACCAGACTCCAGTGACTCAAGAACCCAGACTGGCAGAGGCTCTACTGCAATAGGTCACAGGCTGTGATGGGGCAAGACTATCTGCTCCCAAGCATAGCAGAGACATTGGGTTTTCTGCCAAGTAACTACAGAGAGAGAGAGACAGTGTACGTGTGTGAGTATGTGTGTGTGTGCACCTGTGTGTGTGTGTATGTGAGTGGTTTAGAGAAGGGAGAGATGCAGCCATGGAAGGAAACATAGGAAAGGCTTTAGAAAGCCCTGATGTTTTTAGCTCCAAAATCTGTTTAGGGGCTAGCAATTGGTCACCTCCTGACTCCAAGTCTCACCACCTAGAGGACACAAGCCCCCACACTGCATCTCTGCTACTCTTCTTCCCCTCCCTCCACAATCCCTTCTTCACTCAGCAGCAGAGGGGATGGGAGACCTTTCTTAGAAGTACCTCCAATCATGTCATCCTCCAGCGACCTCTCGTTCCTTCAGTTAATGAGTTTCATGCCCTCACATCGGCCAACGCAGTCTGATATAATCTGCTTCCCAGCTCTCCTGTGGATAACCCCCTTCCCCTAAGATGCCCCAGCAAACAGCTCTCCTTACTGCTCCTCACTCCGTTTCCCCCAGCTCAGATATGCCTGAGGCTTTTGGCCTTGACCATCCACTTGCCTCAAAGGGCCTTTCTGACAACTGCTCAGAGCTGCTCCTCAATTTTCCTTACTGATCTCTGCTCCATTGTCATTTCCTCAAGTAGCCTCTTCTCTCCTCTCAGTTGCTTTCCAGTATATCACTGTCTTATGATAGTTGGGGTATCAACCACTCCACGGAATTATCTACTTGATTTTCATGTCCTCTCTCAGAATATTACCTCCAGGAAAGCTGCACCTCGTTTGTCCCTGGCATGCTCTATCCCCAGGGGACAGCACAGGGCTCAACCCCCACACAGCACTCCATAAATATTTGCCGATTGAACTAAAGGTAAACATTGAGCCCAGTCTTAAAGAAATCGTAGGATTTAGGAGTTGAACATTGAGAAAGAACATATTTAAAGCAAAAGGGGCCTGGCGAGGTGGCTCATGCCTGTAATTCCAGCACTTTGGGAGGCTGAGACAGGTGGATTGCTTGAGGTCAGAAGTTCTAGACCAGCCTGGCCAACATGGTGAAACACTGTGTCTACTAAAAAACACAAAAATTAGCCAGGCATGGTGGTGGGTGCCTGTAATCCCAGCTACTCTGGAGGCTGAGGCAGGAGAATTGCTTGAACCCAGGAGACAGCAGTTGCAGTGAGCTGAGATGGCACCAGTGCACACCAGTCTGGGTGACAGAGCGAGCTCAAAAAAACAAAAACAATAACAAAATAAAGCAAAAGGCACAAAGGACACATAGAAGGAAACGGGCCAGACTTTTAGAACAAATACGATACTGGGTACTCCAACATTTTATTTCATTTTATCTTCAAAACCTAACCCAGCCAGGCACGTGGCTCATGCCTGTAATTCCAGCCCTTTGGGAGCCCAAGGCAGGTGGATCACCTGAGGTCAAGAGTTCGAGACCAGCCTGACACGGTGAAACCTCCACTCTACTAAAAATAAAAAAGTAGCTGGGCGTGGTGGTGCGCACCTGTAATCTCAGCTACTCAGGAGGCTGAGGCAGAAGAATCACTTGAACCTGGAAGGTAGAGGTTGCAATTAGCTGAGATCACACCATTGCACTTCAGCCTGAGCAACAAGAGGGAAACTCCATCTCAAAAAAACAAAAAAAAAAACAAAAACAAAAACCAACAAACAAACAACCAAACAACAACCTAACCTCACATATCAACATGAAAATATCCATGTTTTTGTGGAAGAAAATTGATGCTGAAGGAGAGAAGGAGACAGCCTCAGTTCCCTCAAGCCACCAGGTAATAAAACTATTGATGGTTCCATGACAGAAAAAACTGAGTTACGATGCCCCTAGCCAGTGAAAAGAAGGAGCTGATGAGCTCTTGGAAGACATGGGCCCAAGTTGTGCTAGAGTCTTGGAGGGCTGGAAGAAAAGAATGGAAGATGAAGGAAGTCCCAACAGCATTAGGGATTCTAGGAGTTGCCTTCAACTGTGGTATAGAATGAATTTGAAGTAGTACACTTTATTACACTTTATACTGGCCTAGATATTAATCTTTATAAAATGACAATGCACAACCTATTTTTGGCATGAATTAATCATGAACTTATGCTTTTTAATTTTTTAAAACAATCTTCCTTTATCAATATCTCAGCAAAGGCTGCTCAGACAAACACCTCCCTGGTCATGATGAGACCGCTGCTTCATTCAATCCGTGAGCAAATGTTAATATTAATGAAAGGCCAAGCATGTGTCAACCGCCAAACTGGGTGTTAGGGAGACAGGCATGAATGAGACGGGAGTTCAAGACAGGGAAGTATGACGAGATAATGATCATACACTACAATGAGTGCTATATGGTGCCTATACAGAACGCCTGCCACAGGATCATACAGGGGCCCAATCATTTCTTCATCTCTTGAAGGTATAGAGGGACACAGGGACTGCCCCACAGGACCCAAGCCCTATAAAAGCTGAGTATCTGTGAGATTTATCTCCCATTTAATCTGACATATGTATTCATATACAAAGTGTTATTTGATATTTGGAAATTAAGGAAAAATGGCAAACAGTTCACTAAATGATGGCAATTAACATTATAGTTGCACAGACCAGCCAAGTACTATGGAGTTGGCTGAGTAGGGAGGGAAGAGGTGAGAGCAGGCCAGACTTCTTAAGTCCTGGCTCTAAAGGGAAACACCTGAACTAGGTCCAGGTCTCACAAGATTAGCACCTCCCTGCAGCCACCTGCAGCTACCTACTTCCAGCAGTACACACGCCTCCTAGTGCTGTGTGGATTTGAGATGACGGGGAGTCCATCCAGTAGACATATAGAGAAAGAAGCAAATGCAGTTCAGATAAGCCCACCTCTCCACCCCACCTTCCTCTCTTTTCTCCTTTTGCTCATTCTCTCCAGACCAGCAGAAAGAAGATGACCTAACATCAATGAATCCAGAACCTCACATTCTCCCATTGGACTTTGAGACCCAGCCTATCCTGAAAGTGCTGAGGGTTGGGACTCCTATTTCTTGGAGCTCCTGTTATGTGCCACACCCAGAGTAGGTTCTCCAAAGTCATAGTCCCACTTAATCCTAGACACAGCGCTGTTATTACCCAATTCCACAGAGGGGATTACTAAGGTTCATGGGTGGCATGGTATACCCAGGTACCCAGTGCCAGAGAGAATAATCACAGAATCATGAACCACTTACTCTCAAGTCCCAGTCATCTCTCTCCCTACTCCTAAAATACCTTCACTAGTGGTCTCCCTGCCTCCTCCATCCTCTACCCAGAAGCTAGAGGATCTATTAATATGAAAATCATATCACACAATTCTCTGGTTACAAAATCCCATTGGCTTCCTATCACCCTTTTAATAAAATTAAAGTTCTCCTAAGAGGATACGCAAATGGCCAACAGGTACATGAAAAGAGGCTCAACATCATTAGTCATGAGGGGAATGCAAATTAAAACCACAATGAGATACCCCGATTAAAAAGTGGGCCGAGACCTTAACAAACCCCTCAGCACAAAAAGACACACAGATGGCAAATAAGCATATGAAAAGATGTTCCACATCACACATCACCAGGAAAATGCAAAAGAAAACAACAATGAGACCCCACTACATGTCGATTAGAAGTGCCAAAATCCAGGAGACTAACAATACCAAATGATGGCAAACATGTGGAGTAATAGAAACTCATTCACTGCTGGTGGGAATGCAAAATGGTATAGCCACTTTGGAAGACATTTTGACAGTTTTGTATGAAATGAAATATACTCTTACTATAAGATCCAGTAATTGTGCTCCCCAGTACCTACCCAAAGCAGTTGAAAACATGTCTACACAAAAACCTGCAAATAGATGTTTACAGCAGCTTATTCATAACTACCAAAACTCGGAAGCAACTCAAATATCCTTCAGTGGGAGAATGAATAAATAAACCACTGTCTATCCTGACAATGGAGTATTATTCAGCAGTAAGAATAAATGAGCTATCAAGCCATGTCGAGGCATGGAGGCACCTTACATGCATATTAGTAAAGTGAAAAAATGCCAATCTGAAAATGCTATATACCATATGATTCCAAATATATGATGTTGTAGAAGATGAAACAACCTAGACAGTAAGAAGATGAGTGGTGACCAAAGATTTAAGAAATAGGAAGCAGTGAACAGGCAGAGGACAGAGGATTCTTAGGGCAGTGAAAGTACTCAGTAGGACATTACAATGGTTAATATATGTCAACACTTCTGCTCAAACCCATATAATGTTAGAGTATTCAACACCACGAGTGCATCCCAATGTGAACTGTGGACTTTGGGTGATAATGATGTGTCAGTGTAGGTCTATTTGTTTTATATATATATATCCCCCCTCTGAAATATCTTGATAGAAAGGTCATACAGGTGTGGAGTCAGGGGGTAAATGGGAAATCTCTGTATCTTCCATTCTATTTTGATGTGAACCTAAAACTGCTCTTAAAAATAAAGTCTTTTCACATACAACACACACACAATGAGATATCACTTCATAGCCACTAGGATGGCCATAATTTAAATGGAAAATAACAAGTGCTGACAAGAATGTAAAGACATTGGAGCCCTTATACATTGTTGGTGGGAATATGGAATGATGCAACAGTCAATATGGAAATCAGTTTGATGGCACCTCAATGAATTAAACCTAGAATTACCACACGACCCAGCAATCCCATTCTGGGTATGTATACACAAGAGAAGTGAAACCATTGTTAAAACAAAAACTTTTACACAAATAATTGTTCGTAGCAGCATTATTCACAATAGACAAGTGGCAGAAATGAAGGAAATGGCCATCAACTGATAAATGGATAAATCAAAATGGATAAATCAAAAATATTCGTGCAGTAGGATATTATTCAGCCATCAAAAGTGTGAAGTTTTAATACATGTTACAACACAGATGAGCCTTGCAAAATTATGCTAAGTGAAAGAAGCCAAACACAAAAGGACAAACACTGTATGATTTCATTCATAATAGATATCCTGACCAAGACAAATCCATACAGACAGAGAGCAGACAGGGGCTAGGGGAAAAGGGGAGAATGAAGAGTGATTTCTCATGCAAATAAGATTTCCTTCTGAGATGATGAAATATTTTGAGACTGCATAGTGGTGATAGTTGGACAATATTGCGGATATGCTGAAAGCTACTGAATCGTTCACTTTAAAATGGATCCAATTGTGTTTGTGTTATGTGTGTTTTACCACCACAAAAGGGGACGAAATCAAGTCCTTCTCTCTTACCCTCTTCTGGAAATTCCCTTCCTGAACAAGTCAGCCCTAAAGTAGTTAGAGGGCCTAGGAAATAGCTGCCAGAATAAGGATGCCTTATTGTACTTATCTGCTTTGCACTTAATCATTACATGTGTATGTTCTTATGTATTTATGTTTAATGCCTGCAAACACCCATTAGAACCAACCTTGTTTATCTTGTTCACCATTTAGGATTTCCAGACTTAGCAAATAAAAATATGACCAATAATGGAATATTTGGGGACATACTTGTACTCAAAACTCTAATATTTCTCTTTGTCTCAAATGCACATTTAACTGGGTGTCTGATATCGCCCGGCCTTGTCCCCACCCAAATCTCATCTCGAATTGTAGCTCCCATAACTCCTATGTGTTGTGGGAGGGAACTGGTGGGAGGTTCACATGAATCATAGGGGCGGTTTCCCCCAGCTGTTTTCATGGTAGTGAATAAGTCCCAGGAGAGCTGTTGGTTTTATAAGGGGAAACCCCTTTTTGCTTGGTTCTCATTCTCTCTTGTCTGCCGTCATGTAAGATGTGCCTTTTGCCTTCTGCCATGATTGTGAGGCCTCCCCACCCACATGGAACTGTGAGTCCATCACACCTCTTTTTCTTTATAAATTACCTAGTCTCAGGTCTATCTTTATCAGCACCATGAAAAGGGACTAATATAGTGTCCTATACTTTATCTTGTTGTCCTATCACCACTGTATCTCCAGTGCAGAGTAGGTACAAGATAAATATTTATGGAAATTGAATGAATAAATAAGTCCTCATTCAACACAGCTGTGTTCACTAATGAAGAAATCAGCCATTCACTAAATGTGTGCATGTCCATCCATCACTGATATTCTAGTGTACAGAGAGCAAAAGCAGAAGGCAGAGGAAGGTGGGGATGCGGTCAGCTCTAGACAGGCCTTTTCCATTTTGTCTCCTTCTGCAGCACTCTATGGCAGTGTTAGAAGCAGAGCTGAGCTCTGGGGATAGCAAATTTGCAATTTGGAAACTCTGCCCTTCAGAAATGTACACTTTGGAGAAGATAGGAAGCAACTGTTTACCGTACCACGACGCAACAGGTGCTACCCAGGGAAAGCAAAAGTTTCCAGGTACACAGAGGATGAATCGTCCAGGAAGCTACTTCCCAAGATGAAGAATGGGAGTATTCAGGGCAGCAGCAGATCACTTCCAAACCCGAGAGTCACCCTGCTCCCAAGTGCAGGGGCTGCCTCCCACCACCCCCACCACCACCCGACTGCTCCCTTCCCTGCAGCCCTGGAATCCCTGTCCTCCCATTAAGGCTGAGCTCCTTGTTTCTGGTCCCAGATCAGAGAGACTGGTGAAATGCAGGGTGGCAGGCCCCTCTGCTGCTTGCTCACTTACACTGTCTTATTGCCAGTGGGGGGCGTTATTCCCATTTTACAGAGGAGGATCCAGGGCTACAGAGCCCCCAGGACTGGCCTCTCCCCTATCCTCCAGCATGATCTCCCCTCAGTCCCAGCTCCCTCCTTTCACCTCCATTCACCTCCCAGCTTCTCCATCCACTTCTCCCATCCACCAGCCTCACATAGATCTTCCTGGTTTCCAGAACAGTCAAGCCATTTCATAATTCGCTCCTCCCTAGCCCTGCAGGGTTTTTCTGGCCTTGACCTAAGCTCTTCAACCTGCAAGCACCTACTTCTCCCTCCAGATGACTTCTCAAGCCAGCTGCCCTCTGAAAGGAGCAGGCTAGCTGGTGGGCCATCCACCCCTGCACCACCTAAGCTTGTGTCTAACCTTCCCTTAGTCATTCTTGTACTGTAATGATCACATAGACTAATATTTACTAAGCATTCCCTCCATGTCAGGCACTGTTCTAAGGTTTGTATATAATTAATTTAACCTTCCTAACAGCTCCATACAGTAGGTATTATTATCATCATCCCCATTTACAGACAGGTTATGAGGCACAGACAGGTTATGCAACTTGCCTGAGGGTCACACAGCTAAATCAGTAACAAAGCGGAATTGGAACCAAGGCAGCCTGGCTGTGATCCCCAGCTGCTCATCACTAGGCCATCTGGTCTCCAGGTAAGTAAACACTGCCTAGAGGAGGATGGGTCTCTCTCACCTCTTTGACCACAGGTCAGATGAGCACCTAGCTCATGAGGTAGGGCAGGGTAAGGCATAAGACTCAATATTAATTCATTAATTGCATGGAACCAAATAACATATGGAAACACCTGGCATGTTGAATGTCACACATTCAGATAACGTCTGGAATGTAACCATCTCATTTGACTAAACATTTCCCTTTCCAGTCTTTGAAACTGCCTTTGCAAACTGCTCTTGCATCTTCTGGCCCCAGGCCCGGGAGCCCCTCCCACCCAAATCTAGCTTCTACTCCCAACTTGCATGTATCTCTAGGCTTGCTTCAGGGAACTCTCCAGGCCAGAAGACTAAGTAGCACTTTGCTTCCTGTGAAGATAATAGCTAATTGGAGTAATTCACACTAAAGTGTGAATGAAGCCAGCAGTTGCAAGGGAAAAGTGAGGGGGATATATTTTAAAGCAGGAGCTGAGTAAATCCTGTATTTGTTGCAGGTCCCCAAGACCCACAAAAGTCCTTTCTGGAGCTTGGATCACTGTGAATACTGCAATCAACCTGTCCACCTCTCCCCACCCCCTCACCTTCTCCTTTAAGTCACAGAGTCTAGCTACTCTGTCGGGATTTTTCTAAGTCAAAATGAAAAAAGAACAATGCTTTAGAATTAGACCTGAGTTTAAATCCTCTCCACCCTTGAGCTTTGTGACCTTAGACAAGTAACTTAGTGTCTTCTGAGCATCTAGGTACTCTTTTACTCTTTTTCAACTGTGCCGGGGGCATGGAATTACATTAGTCCAGCAGGGTCCTAGCAGGAGCTAGGGACCACTACTCAGGGGCTTCTCTTCCTCCTGCCAGTCTCTCTATCCCTGTACTTCCACTCCAGCCTATGGGGAAGAATTAGAAACTACCTCCCAGACTGTGTTCTGAGAATACTCCTTAATCGGTGTTGTATTAGTCTGTTTTCATGCTGCTGATAAAGGCATAACCGAGACTGGGCAATTTACAAAAGAAAGAGTTTTAATTGGACTTAAAGTTCTGCATGGCTGGGGAAGCCTCACAATCATGGCGGAAGGTGAGGAGGAGCAAGTCACGTCTTACATGGATGGCGGCAGGCAAAGAGAGCTTGTGCAGAAAACCTCTGCCTTATAAAGCCATCAGATCTCATGAGACTTACTATCACCAGAACAGCATGGGAAAGACCTGCCCCCATGAATCAATTATCTCCCAGTGGGTCCCTCCCACAACACGTGGGAATTATGGGTGTACAATTCAAGATGAGATTTGGTTGGGGACATAGAGCCAAACCACATCAGGTGTTTCTTCCCAACAGAGTCAAGTGACTCTTTCAAAAAATTCAAGTGACAATTTCAAAAAAATTCTGGAATCACCAGATTTAAAAGGGTAATCTTTGCTCCTATAGGACTTCTCACAAACTTTAACATGCTGGCATTTATGTCAGTCTCCAAGGTGGGGATACACTCTAGGACACTGTTTTAGTGAAAAAAAAAAAAAAAATTTAAGAGTATTCCATGTGCCATAAATGGTGCTAGGTCCTCTCTGTGCAGAGTGAACTTACTTCCTGCAGCTTAGCTTACGGGCTGGGGGAGGGGTACAGATGCATGAACAGAAAAGCCCTTTTTGCCTGAAACAGTTATAGAGATGTCAATAATAATGCTGAATGGAAATATAACTGCAGTAGTCTCAGGCTGGAGCCTTCAGGCAGTTTACTTTCCTGCCCTCACGGAGCCCATGCTTAGCACCCCCACTGTCCTCTGCTCCTTCACATGATCTCTGCATGAGTCTCTCCTAGATGCTGAGGTCCTGGGCAGTGTGTGCCACATAAAGCCTGTTGAGGGGATGGATGGACAGACCAACAGTAAGACAGAACAAACATTCTGATCGAGGATTTGTAACACCCATATCTGGAACCCAGGCCTTCCACAAGCACTCCATATGCCTAAGAGCCAGCCACAACCCCGTGCCTCAGTTTCTTCTTTTATAAAGTGGGGTTTGGGGGCAGTTGGGAACCAAGCAGCTGGCATGCCTGAGCAAACAGGACACTTTGGTTCATGTGATGGGCTGTGGAATCTGTGCCTTGACTAAGAGGACAGCACCCCTGAGTCCCAGGGACTGTGGTCCTTCAGCAAAGTTGGGGGTGCCTGGTCTATTTCTCAGAAGAAGACAGATCACTAATTTCCTAGGGGACATACCCTCATATCAATGTTGAGAATGAATTTAGACATTTTTCAAAACCTCTGGAGTCCATGCAAAATCTGCCTGCAGGGTGTGTTTGTCCCATGGGCCACCAGCTCCTGAGCTGAGGCTGGATAATAATGGGCCAGTATTTATCAAGTTTACATGTGGCAGGCACTGGGTCATGTGCTGTACCACATCATCTCCTTCAATCCCCCATTAATTCTGAGAGCAGTCACTCTTCTCCCCATTTGACTGATGAGAGCACAGAGGTTTAGGTAGGCTAAGTCTCTTAGCCAGTAATAGAGAACAGAGTTAGAGCTGGGATTTGGACCCAGGATGGTGAGACTAATTAATTATTCAGGTCTTGCCAATATACTCTACTGCCTGCTCTTGTGCAAACTCGAAGAGCGCTTTAGACCAGTTATTCTACCTGTGGTGGTCTCATTTCACTGAGGCAGGTGACCTTGGTGATCTGACTTCCGTGAATGTCATATATGTGTGGAGTCTCTCCCATGTTCTGAGTCCTCTGCATGAGTTCTCTCGACCCCACAACAGGCCTGTGTGAGTTTGTGTTCCTACTTTACTGAAGACACAGGCTCAGACTGACTATGATGTCCTGGGACCCACTGCTACTGGTGGAAGGAGACAGATCCCAGCTTAGGTCTAGGCAACTGAGCTGTCCGTGTAAGCAGCAGCACTCGAGTTAATTGCCAGCTGGGTACACGTAAGGAAGCAGCAGCTTCAGGAAATAGGATGACAGATTCAGGGGCCAAAGGGAGGGGAACACACAGCCATCAGAGGCAAATCATTTAATGGACATGATTGGGTCACTTGTGTCCCTTCTCTTGACTTCCATTTTTCTCCTTGTTTCCATCCTTTTCCACTGCACTCTGTTTAACCCAGCCCCTGCTGGCCAGTGGGTCATTGCCAATGCAGTGAGTTAATGCCTTTGCCTTTCTCCACGCCTGTGAGAGAAACAAGCTCTGAATCCCAAGTGCTACTTATCTAATAAGACTGCAGTTACATTAATTATATTTAAATGTCTCCACTTATATAATAAATTTGCCTGCACAACCCTGTCATTATCTCTCCTCTGTAGCCCCTCCACAGTCTCTGGGTCCTCTGAGGAATTCCCAGCAGAACTGCCAGCCCCAAAATAGCAGGAGCCTGGCTGGGAGACGCCGCACCTGCTTGGTTATGGAGGTCTTCTCCTAGTTTGCATTGCAGATGTTCTCCACTGTGAGCCAGAGAGCTACAGAACCAAAGGAGCTATGGGGGAAAGGGAAAAACTGAGACACCTGAGTCTGTATCCACCATCGGCTACTTACCACCTGGGTGACCTTTGCACTATCTCCTAACATCTCTGAGATACAGCCCTATTAGATTACAGATTTGCAACTGTGCAAAGATGGGATTAATTTAGTCTTTCTAGGTCCCAAGTGGGTCTCCTTGGGCACAAGTGTCCCATGCAAAATATTTATCAACCACATATTATGTGCCAAATAATATGCTCAGCCCTGGATATGCAAAGGTAAAAGAGGATTGCCAATCTCTGTACTTTGGGGGCAGAAAGCAGAAAGATTCTAGACTCTTAAAGACCTTAGTTTTGACAACTTCTCCACTACTTAACAAAGGTAGGACATTAGGCACATTGTTTAACTTCATGGTCTCTGCTGTTAATTATCTGCAAAGCGAGAATAATAGCTACCTTCTTTATATGTCTGTGGTGATTAAAATAATCTGCAAACTCCCTTGAACAGTTTTTGTGTTATAGCACATGTTCCACAAATGGATGAATTACTCGGCTGCTATCTTACAAACAGGAGTCTGGGCATCAGGGTTGTAACCTTCATCACCAGGCTTCCCTGGGGTGAACTTATGTCAAGTATTTTCCTGTTTATGTGCCTCAATTTACCCATCTGTGTAACGAAAGCACATCTTTTCTTCCTGGAAAGAGCATGAGCTTTGGGGTGAGACCAGGACAAGAAGACCAGCGCTTCCCCTTACTGGCTCTGTGGCCTTGGGGTACAGAACCTCTGAGGGCCCCATTTGCTGCAGTCTTCCCCACTGAAATGTAAGCCCTGTGCACATCCTTGACCGTGTCTGCATGGAGCAAAGCAGTGGCCAGCGTGTGGCAGGCTGCATAGACATAAAGAGTGAATAAAAGAAGGAAAAGGGATGCAGTGAGAACACTGACAGCCACTTCCCAGCTTTGTTGTAAAGCCCATATAAAGCTCCGTCAATACCTTCTTGATGACGTTCAGGCTCCATCTGATCCACTGAATTCCAATGACTCAGGGCAAGAGTGGTGTGAAAAGGGGACAAGGCATAGCAGGCTCACTCTGTCCTTCCTCCTGGCATCTGTGAGCGAATGCCTGATAAATATTTGTCTATGGATGTGTTTAGTTATTGATCGAAATTTTACAGCAATTGTGTGTATAACAACAATGATTAAAGGTAAGGACATTGAAGCCCCTGGCAGGAAAGACATCTGGCCAATAGTACATGGAGAAGTGCCTAATAATTGGGATGCAGATCTTCCCTGAAGTCTTTTAATCTGTTCACTTTACCTCGCTCAGGAAAACCTCACCCACAGCTGCAGGGCCACTGACTCCACTGGCCCCATCTCCCCACGCACAGAGCAGCCTGTGTGGCTTTGCAAATAAGGAAGCCCATCTGGTTACCTTCCCCTAGACCTATCCCCAGACAGCACCTGCTTCTGCTTCAAAGGACACACGTGCCCCTAATTATGTATCCATAAGACAAATGTGGCTCATTCCATCACAGAACTAGAGAGTCTAAGGAAGCAAACTAAAAAATGTATAAAATCAGGGTTCCTTGACTAATTTGTCCAACACCACAGCTAGCAATGATGGGAGCCAGGTGTGCATCCCTCAGGCTGTAAAGCAGTTAACCACCTAACCAGGTAGTCAGTCCCAGTCCTGAGCTGCCCAAGAACCGGATGAGCTGCTTTAGTAGATTCAGGTATCACAAGCATCTGTGAGCCTACGGAAGGCTGGGCTCCGTGACAGACGAAATGTTTCACAGAAATCTGGAGCCAGATTCCAGGGCACAAAACCACCCACAACAGACATGAACCTTGAACACATCATTCTAAGTGAAAGAAGTCAGCAGAGAAGGTTCTGTGTTGCATGATTTTATGTGTATGAAATGTCCAGGATGGGTAAGCCCAGGGCCATGGACACCGACCGCTTAAGGGGTATGAGGTTTCCTTTTAGAGTGATAAAAATGTCTTAAAAGTACACAGAGGTGATGGTTATACAACATCGTGAATGCGTTAAATGCCAATACATTGTACACTTTAAATAGTTGATTTCATATTATGTAAATTTCTTCTCAGTTAAATTTCATCTCTAATAGCATACGTACTTGTAGTATGTTATGCACACATCCCATAACTCAGTGAAAATAATTGCTGTTGACTCTAAAAATAATTAGCTATCCATATTATTAATTAGCTGTATCATCTTATATCTTAGCAGTGACATCAAGGCTACCTGCCACTCCCTGGGCTCCACATGTTGGCATAGACTCCACAGATTAAGCCTCTTTCTCCCATGGACAGAGCTCCAGGAGTTTGAAGTCAGAGCTCCCGTCCCTAGAACATTTTCCTTTGGTGATGGCTCATGTTCGGGTCCTCCAGCCTTGGAGAACAAGGTGTCGCCATCCCTTCCTTGCCCAGGGCAGCCCTGGTGTGCCTGCAAGGAAGGATTCATGCCCCTCTAGGAGTGGCCTGACCAGCCAGGTGGAGATTCCCTTCTCCTGACACCACATCTGTTCTCACAGTGTCAGAAAGTGCACCCCAGCTTCCAGCACCTTTGCACACCTTCAGCCAGGGCAGCGGGAGCTCTCCTGGACCTTCTGAATGTAAACTCCCTCCGGTCCCAGATGATATAGACACAGAGGGAGGCCATGGTCCTGCATCCTGGCTCGTCTGTTCAAAGACTGTGTGACCTTGGGGAAGCTGCTTCACGCCTTCTGTAAAATGGAAATGGCACCACCACCCAGCACCCATCAGAGCCCAGAGGAGTTATGGCACCATGCGTGGGACTCCCCAGCAAGGTGCTTGACCCCCAGAGGGGCTCATTCAGTCTGTGCAGGTAAAAAGACCAAGAGGAAAGAGGAGGCAGTGACTGGATTTTCAAGGGTATAAGAGTGTACCTGTAGCCAAAAGGAAGTTGCTAAAAATAGCAGATATTCTACAGATGATTTCATATTAAATCTGCTCAATTTACAAGTCAAAACCTTATTACCTTCCTTTCCCACCCCTGCAGGCCTCGGGGAACCAGGCACAGATGCACACAGTGCACGGAAGAGTGAGCCCTGGGCTTTAATAGAAATCAGCCACATTCAGACACTCCAGAGAGAAGGGTTTGGCTCATCAACCTGTAGACCCAACCCCTGGGTGTGCAATGACAGTTTGATTTGGAAAGAATGCAGACATTAGAAGCTGCATGTGGGAGGAAGTGGCATAGGGAGCAGAGAACAGAAAGGTTGAGATGCATTCCTCCAAAGAGGGGGGCATCGACTAATTTTAAGGCAATGTTGAGGCAATGGTTTTAAGCCTATGATGAAAAGATGTTGAAATAGCTATTGAGATGTCAGCGGTCAGACCCTAACAAGAAGGTAGTGAGATACTCGGTCTTCATATATATTTAGTCCTCAACCTTACCTGCCCCTTCCCAGCCTCTATTTCCCCTAATACAGAATCTGGAAAATTATTTGACAAACTCTTGCTCAAAGATTGACCAGGAGACGAATATAACCCTGTAATCAGGACTTGAATCCAGACCATTAGGATTCTAGAACAGAGCTCATTCTACCACAATACCTTGCTTATGCAAAATTAGCCTGTCTTCTCATTAATAAAAGAATAACAGGAGTAAGAATAATAATATATATTTTTAAGACCCCTGATTTAGGGTTCTCATAGCATTGCATCATTCTAATTAATCCATATGCCTTTTTTTCCCTGGGACAGTCTCAGTTAATATCTAGTGTCCTAGCTTCCTAGCTGAATTAATAATAGCATCCCCATTAATTCTCAGAAGTGTCTGGCTTTGAACCATATATTATATGATTATCCAACCCACAGCAACCCTATAAGATGTGACTTATTGTCGCTTTCCATTTACAAATGAGGTGATCAAGGATGAGACAGATTATTCCAGCTATTCAGCAGAGCAGTATTCAAATCTAGTCAATCTAGAATAGAGAGTGAGCTCTAATCTCCCCCCAACCATTTCCTACCAAAATAAGTGGTTTTCAGATAGTGTCCCTTAAACCCCAGGGCAGAAGCGAGGCATTTTTTAGGATTCACTGAAGGAACACAGGAAAACCATATGGGTGGGTCTTGGGGCTTTACCACCCCCACTGTCAACAGACCAAGCCTTCTTTAGATTTTATAGATGGGGGTTCTCTGCAAGAGTTCCCTTGGGAAAAAAGGCTAATATTTAGAAAAATGAACACGATGATTTTATTTCTATATCACCACTTCCTAGAACAATGCTAAGCACACAGAGTCTCCAGTTAATACTAAATAATAGAATGAACAATAGCCCCTACCTAATAACTCCCCAGGCTGATGGATACTTTGAAAATGACTGACATAAGCTTTCTGGTGAAGAATCACATTCACGTCAGAATTCATGATCAAAATATTCATGTCAGACCCACCCAACCCCAGCATCAGAGGACATAATATGGAAATACAACAAAAGCCATAATTGCAGAAGGTATCCCTGAGCTTACCTGGCCTTGTAGGAAGAGCATACCCTTGGCAAGGCTATAAGGAGGAGCCATGAATATATATCGTCATCCTTTGAAACTATCTAGCTAACCAGTCCCAGGCCCCCTGCAGAGTGTTTGGCACTGTATGAAGACTCAATAAATTTCAGATGGGGGAATGGATGTTGGTGTGAATGAGATCCCTGAATCTCTCTGGAGCTCGGGCTTTGGGTGTGCTGGAAGCCCCCACAGCAAGGCTTGGCTGGGATTCTGTCTGAAATCTGCCAAGGGAGCCTGGCTAATGCTGAAGCCAGAGTCGCTCCTCAGATATTCCTGCTTGGAGGGGGCAGGAGAAATGGAGTGTCCCAGGCCAACAGATGCAAGGCAATTGATTCAGTCGCTTACTCCAGCCCCTGTCTAGAATGACCTGCTACCAAAGAGCCCTTCTGGAATAAGTGGAGAGCAGAATGCAGTGCCGTGGATCAACAGAGGGACCAGAGACTGGGTGATAGACTTGAAGCCTGGTCATTCCCATAGTCTAAGATCTCAGGATCTCTCCCAGTTTATCCCAGTCTCACCCTCCACCCACCACCATTAGAATGATGTGGGAGGAAGGGAAGATGAGAGGAGGAGGACTGAAGAGATGAGTCAGTGAAAAGTAGGTCAGACTCCTACTCTCCTAGCAGAATCCCAAGTGTGGAAGGAGCTGCCTGATGCAAGCTGAGGAATCCCCTGTATTCCCTTAGCACATTGTTGCTCAGCCTTTGTTTAAACCCATCCAAGACAGGGAATGTGCTACCTTTCAAGGCTGCCAGAGCCATTTCCTCCTTGAGCTACCCACTGCCTCACTCTACACGTAGGGAAGTGTCCCATCCCCCTAATTTTAAACTACTCCAAAATCCATACAATAGGTCTGTGTTCCAAAACACCAAAATGTATGAGAAATAGTGTCTCCAAATAAGGTTTGAAAACACTGCAAGACTATATGCAATTTATTTCCTACAGTTTGATGACTTTGCTGAAACTGAACCATCAACCATTTTAAGATCTCTGATAAGATTGCAAAGGACTGTGCACTTAAGAAACAACTTAGAAATTCACAAAATGTTTGGGATTCAAAGGGAGAGGCTTAGCAATCCTCTAATTGGGCATTTATTTACAAAATTATAAACCTAGGCAAGCTTTTATATAAAATATTAACTGGGATTATATCAAAAGAAGCTTCCATGCTCAACCAAGTTTGGGACATGTTAGGTCAAATGTCTAGATTGCAGGACTTCTCAGAGCCTTTGAGATGATGATTCCCTCTGTAATACTCTAAGCAGGACTAGTGCAGAATGTCTCCCTAGCTCCCTTAATTATGGAATTATTATTTTGTAGGTTATTACCTGGACTGATTGTCTATGTTATACTCTTTGAGAAAAGCTGATCTAAGCTGATCTACCATCACTGCAACCTTAAAATCATTAAAACTTTCTGAGACTTGGTTGCTTTCTGTGCTATTTCTGTCCTACCAATGAAGACCAAGGTGGTGTAACTGTGGAAACCCTGAGCAGGCACACAGGAGGCACAGGGCACTCACGTCGCCTTTCTTTCCCAGTCAGTGACAGCCACGTGCTTAAAAGAAACCCATCTGTTTACCAGCCCAGGTTATGAGCCAAATGCTGGTCCCAGTGACAATCTCATATCTATTTTCTCAGCCTTCAACAAATAAGAAAGAAAAATGGCCTTTTAACCTCAGCTGACATAGCAATGGGACCTGGAAAAGCAATGGATGAGAATCTGTCTGTTCAATGCAATATTTTCCTACAGAGATAACAACCAATTGCATTTCCTTTCTTAAGAGCCAGTGATGAATGTGACTGATGGGCAAGAAATACCACTCCTGGGTAATACATTTTAGGGTAAAGCTATGATACCAAACTCACCCCATCATTTCTGAGAACGGTCTGGCTTAAGTGGATCATCACAGAAAGTATCAGCATTCTGGGAACTCAGGCATGGTTTTCCCAGGTAAGCTCTGCTCTCCACAGATATTTATTCTGCTCAGATACCAGTCCGCTTACAAAGAGTTACCACTGTCTACTGTATGCCTGTCCCTGGTGTGTGTGTGTCTGTGTGTGTGTGTGAGGAGGGTGGGAGGTGGAGACAGACAGAGACAGAGAGTGAGAACTGGTGCTGAAGTTCCACGGGCAAAAGGGCTCTTACGCAGAGAAAACAAAGAGAAGGAATAGCTGCAGGTCAACTCCAAAATCACTGGGGGCTTAGAAATCCGCAGACTCAGCAGTACCTGGAACACTGCCTTTTCAACAGACTCAATCCTTCCTTCCCTTGGGCGTGAAACACAAAGGGTATTTCTGGTATTGTATAAAGGCCTATGAAGTCAGGGCACTTAATGACAAGGGATTTCTCAGTTTTTCGTGGGAAATAGAATCCACATTCAAGAAGTTAACTGGGAAGAATGTTCATTTCTGATTCTGTGCTCAGCTCTTGATGTTTTTGACCCAGGTGTGTAAGGACCAGATGGCTTCTGTTTACTGTAGCTCACCTCAGGCAAAACCCACAATTCTGTTATGTCTGCACCCTCAAATAACCATTATAAACAACATAGCCAGAGACTCTGGGACCAGACCTTGCATTCAGTGATTCCCCTACATTAACTCACCTCTATGCAGAGAAGTAGGTGCTCCCTGTTGAAGATGATAAAACCAAGATACAAAGAGAGTAAATAACTTGGCCAAGGTCCAAAAGTAGGAAGGGACAGGACTGGAATTCACTGTGGCATTCTGACTCCAGAACTGCTGTTCTCAGTCACTATACTACACTACCAAGGTTATCATCCCAGTGCAAAAGTGAATAATGCAAGTTAAATTAGAATTTGTGAGGAAATGAGCACTATGGACTGAATGTTTGTGTTTTCCAAACAATTCACATGGTAAAGCCCTAACCCCTGATGTGATGGTTTTTGGAGGTGGAGTTTTGGGGAGGCCATTAGATCATGAAGGTGGAAACTCTCAAGGGAGATGAGTGACCTTACAAGAAGAGACATGAAAGAGATGATCTTTCTCTCTGCCACGTGAGGACACAGCAAAAAGACGGCCATCTGCAAACTGAAGCAGGCCCTTACTAAATGGCAAATCAGCTCGTACCTTGATCGTGGAGACCCCAGCCTCAGAACTGTGAGAAATAAGTGTTTGCTGTTTAAGCCATCCTGTCTATGGTATTTGTTATAGCATCCTGAACTAAAATGAGAAAATATTTATCTCACTTACTCCACAGCAAAACATACTGATGATCCAATGAGACAACTCCTTACCAGTTCCTTTCCAGAGGCAAACCCCTTCTCTCCCTCTTCCCATTCAACCCTTCAAATGTCCAGACAAAGCCCTCTCACCTTCCATTCCCATGCTTTTACGTGAGAGAACCAGCCCTGCAGGTAGACAGACCCATCACCAACCTTGGAGAACAACCCGGATATCATTCATGATATCCAAGTCAAGTCTATTGGGAGGGTTCATTCAAACAGGTCACCAAATTGTTGATTCTCAACAACATAGAGTTCTTCATACAAAAAGGAGTCTGCTGCTATGAAATATAAAGTTTCCTCATATTGTTACACAGGGATTATTTGATTTAATCCTTATAACAATCTATAAAAAATTCATAAATGTTTATCTCTGCTCTGCAGATAAGAAAACTGAGCTAGAGAAGGTTGACAAGGCATCCCAATACCAATGGAGAGTGGGGCTGGACCATGACCTTTTGCTCTAGGCAGAGCAACCCTGAAAACTTGGTCCCTTTAGCACATTCTGTGCCTCTTCTGAATGGTTATCTGCCCATTCCCCTCCCCCAAAGACCTACACCTCAGTGTTCCTCCAGTGTTTCATGCAGCAAATTTTCTAAGCTGTTCATTGGTATGAGGCAGAGGTTCTCAACTAGATGTCGGAGGCAACTTTGCCAGCAATGTCTGAAAACATTTTTTAATTTTCAATACTGGAGGGAGCCATCAGCATTTAGTGTGTAGAAGACAGATGTGTGGATAAACATCCTAACATGAATAGGGAAGTACTTGCACAACAATAGTATTAAGGTTGAGAAATCCTAGGAACAGGATACACAAAGAAAATTATAGGTAATCTTACACCATTTTGAGTGATTTTCTTATATTCAATTATAGGTATACCTTGGTGATGTTGCAGGTTCAGTGCCAGACCACCACAATAAAGCAAATATCACTAAATATTTGCTACTTAAATAAAATAAATAAATAATAAAAATAACTATTCATGGATTTTTTTGGTTTCTCAGTGCATATAAAAGTTATGTTCGCACTATAATGTAGTCTATTAAGTGTGCAATGCCATTATGTTTAATTAAAAAAATGCACACATCTTATTTAAAACTATGTTATTGCTAAAAAATTATAATAATCATCTGAACCTTCAGTGAGCCATATCTTTTGCTGATGGAGAGTCTTGCCTCAATGTTGATGGCTGCTGACTGATCGGGGTAATAGTTGCTGAAGGTTAAGGTGACTGTGACAAATTCTTAAAATAAGACAACAATGAAGTTTGCCATGTCATTGGACCCTTCCTTTCATGAAAGATCTCTCTGTAGCATGTGATAGCATGCTTGCTAACATTTTACCCAAAGTAGAACGTTTTTCAGAATTAGAGTAAATCCTCCCAAATCCTACAGCTGCCTTATCAACTAAGATTATAGAATATTTTAAATCCTCTGTTGTCATTTCAACAATGACAACGACTTCACCAGGAGTACAGTTCATCTCAAGACACCACTTTCTTTGCTCGCTCATAAGAAGCAACTTCTCATCCATCAAAGTTTTATCATGAGATTGTAGCAGTTCAGTCACATCTTCAGGCTCCACTTCTAATTGTAGTTATCTTTCTACTTCTAACACATCTACAGTTACTTCTTCCACTGAAGTCTTGAACCTCTTAAAGTCATCCATGAGGGTTGCTATTAACTTCGTCCAAAGTTCTGTTAACGTTGATATTTTTACCTCCTCCCATGAATCACCAATGTTCTTAATGGCAGCTAAAATTATGAATCCTTTCCAGAAAGTTTTCAATTTACTTTTCCCAAATCCAGTAGAGGAATCACTACCTATTGCAGCTATAGCCTCACTAAATGTATTTCTTAAATAATAAAACTTGAAAGTCAAAATTACCCCCTGATCCACGGGTTTCAGAATTGATGTTGTGCTAGCAGGCTTGAAAACAAATTAATCTCCATCAGAGTGCTTGGGTGAACAGGTGCATTTTCAATGAGTAGTAATATTCTTTTTTTTTCTTTTTTTTTTCTTCTTATTATTATACTTTAAGTTTTAGGGTACAAGTGCACAATGTGCAGGTTAGTTACATATGTATACATGTGCCATGCTGGTGTGCTGCACCCATTAACTCGTCATTTAGCATTAGGTATATCTCCTAATGTTATCCCTCCCCCCACCCCACAACAGTCCCCAGAGTGTGATGTTCCCCTTCCTGTGTCCATGTGTTCTCATTGTTCTATTCCCACCTATGAGTGAGAACATGCGGTGTTTGGTTTTCTGTCCTTCCGATAGTTTACTGAGAATGAAGATTTCCAATTTCATCCATGTCCCCACAAAGGACATGAACTCATCATTTTTCATGGCTGCATAGTATTCCATGGTGTATATGTGCCACATTTTCTTAATGCAGTCTATCATTGTTAGACATTTGGGTTGGTTCCAAATCTTTGCTATTGTGAATAGTGCCACAATAAACATACGTGTGTATGTGTCTTTATAGCAACATGATTTATAGTCCTTTGGGTATATACCCAGTAATGGGATGGCTGGGACAAATGGTACTTCTAGTTCTAGATCCCTGAGGAATCGCCACACTGACTTCCACAATGGTTGAACTAGTTTACAGTCCCACCAACAGTGTAAAAGTGTTCCTATTTCTCCACATCCTCTCCAGCACCTGTTGTTTCCTGACTTTTTAATGTTTGCCATTCTAACTGGTGTGAGATGGTGTCTCATTGTGGTTTTGATTTGCATTTCTCTGATGGCCAGTGATGATGAGCATTTTTTCATGTGTCTTTTGGCTGCATAAATGTCTTCTTTTGAGAAGTGTCGGTTCATATCCTTTGCCTACTTTTTGATGGGGGTTGTTTGCTCCTTTCTTGTAAATTTGTTTGAGTTCATTGTAGATTCTGGATATCAGCCCTTTGTCAGATGAGTAGGTTGCGAAAATTTTCTCCCATTTTGTAGGTTGCCTGTTCACTCCGATGGTAGTTTCTTTTGCTGTGCAGAAGCTCTTTAGTTTAATTAGATCCCATTTGTCAATTTTGGATCTGAAATTGTGGCAATAATCAATAGCTTACCAACCAAAAAGAGTCTAGGAGCAGATGGATTCACAGCTGAATTCTACCAGAGGTACAGGGAGGAACTGGTACCATTCCTTCTGAAACTATTCCAATCAATAGAAAAAGAGGGAATCCTCCCTAACTTATTTTATGAGGCCAGCATCATCCTGATACCAAAGCCGGGCAGAGACACAACCAAAAAAGAGAATTTTAGACAAATATCCTTGATGAACATTGATGCAAAAATCCTCAATAAAATACTGGCAAACAGAATCCAGCAGCACATCAAAAAGCTTATCCACCATGATCAAGTGGGCTTCATCCCTGGGATGCAAGGCTGGTTCAATACATGCAAATCAATAAATGTAATCCAGCATATAAACAGAACCGAAGACAAAAACCACATGATTATCTCAATAGATGCAGAAAAGGCCTTTGACAAAATTCAACAACCGTTCATGCTAAAAACTCTCAATAAATTAGGTATTGATGGGACGTATCTCGAAATAATCAGAGCTATGTATGACAAACTCACAGCCAAAATCATACTGAATGGGCAAAAACTGGAAGCATTCCCTTTGAAAACTGGCACAAGACAGGGATGCCCTCTCTCACCACTCCTATTCAACATAGTGTTGGAAGTTCTGGCCAGGGCAATTAGGCAGAAGGAAATAAAGGGTATTCAATTAGGAAAAGAGGAAGTCAAATTGTCCCTGTTTGCAGACGACATGATTGTATATCTAGAAAACCCCAATGTCTCAGCCCAAAATCTCCTTAAGCTGATAAGCAACTTCAGCAGAGTCTCAGGATACAAAATCAATGTACAAAAATCACAAGCATTCTTATACATCAATAACAGACAAACAGAGAGCCAAATCATGAGTGAACTCCCATTCACAATTGCTTCAAAGAGAATAAAATACCCAGGAATCCAACTTACAAGGGACGTGAAGGACCTCTTCAAGGAGAACTACAAACCACTGCTCAATGAAATAAAAGAGGACACAAACAAATGGAAGAACATTCCATGCTCATGGGTAGGAAGAATCAATATCGTGAAAATGGCCATACTGCCCAAGGTAATTTATAGGTTCAATGCCATCCCCATCAAGCTACCAATGACTTTCTTCACTGAATTGGAAAAAACTACTTTAAAGTTCATATGGAACCAAAAAAGAGCCCACATCGCCAAGTCAATCCTAAGCCAAAAGAACAAAGCCGGAGGCATCACGCTACCTGACTTCAAACTATACTACAAGGCTACAGTAACCAAAACAGCATGGTACTGGTACCAAAACAGTGACATAGATCAATGGAACAGAACAGAGCCCTCAGAAATAATGCTGCATACCTACAACTATCTGATCTTTGACAAACCTGAGAAAAACAAGCAGTGGGGAAAGGATTCCCTATTTAATAAATGGTGCTGGGAAAACTGGCTAGCCATATTTAGAAAGCTGAAACTGGATCCCTTCCTTACACCTTATACGAAAATTAATTCAAGATGGATTAAAGACTTAAATGTTAGACCTGAAACCATAAAAACCCTAGAAGAAAACCTAGGCACTACCATTCAGGACATAGGCATGGGCAAGGACTTCATGTCTAAAACACCAAAAGCAATGGCAACAAAAGCCAAAATTGACAAATGGGAGTAGTAATATTCTTAGAGGAATCTTTTTTTACTTTCTGAGCCGTAGGTTTCAACACTGGCCTTAAATATTCAGTAAACCATACTATAAATAGATGTGCTGTAATCCAGGCTTTGTTGTTCCATTTCTAGAGCACAGGCAGAGTAGATTTAGTGTAATTCTTAAGGACCCTAGGATTTTTGGAACGGGAAATGAATATTGGCTTCAACTTAAAGTCATCAGCTGCAATAGCCCCTAACAAAAGACGTCAGCCTTGGAAGCTTTGAAGCCAGGCAATGACTTCTCCTCTCTAGTTATCAAAGGTTTTTATGGCATCTTTTTCCTCTATAAGGCTGTTTATATCTACACTGAAAATCTGTTCCTTAGGGTAGCCACCTTCATCAGTGATTTCAGCTAGATCTTCTAACTTCTAACTGATAACTTGCTGCAGCTTCTATATCAGTACTTGTTCCTTCACCTTGCAGTTTAATGTTATAGAGATGGTTTCTTTCGTTAAACCCTCATTAATCAACCTCTGCTGGCTTCCAAATTTTTTTCTGCAGCTTTCTCACCTCTCTCAGCCACTATAGAATTGAAAAGAGTTAGGGCCTTGCTCTGGATTTTGCTTCTACTTAAGGGAATTTTTTAGTCCATTCTCACAGTGTCATAAATATACTACCTGAGACTGGATAATTTATGATCAAAATAGGTTTAATTGACTCACAGTCTTGCATGGCTGGGGGGCCTTAGGAAACTTACAATCATGGCAGAAGGTGAAGGGGAAGCAAAGCACGGCTTACATGGAAGCAGGAGAGAGAGCAAGAGCACAGGGGAACTGCCACTTTTAAACCATCGGATCTCATAAGGACTCCCTCACTACCATGAGAACAGCATGGGGGAAATCACCCCCATGATCCAGTTACCTCTCACCAGGTCCCTCTCTTGACACGTGGGGTTACAATCTGAGATGAGATTTGGGTAGGGACACAGAGCCAAAACATATCAGGAATGCTGTGGCTTGTTTGGTCTTCTATTCAAACCACAAAAACTTTCTCCATTTCAGCGATTAGGCTATTTTGCTTGCTTTTCATCTGTTAACTGAAAAAGTGATTTTAAATGTTCTTCAAGACCTTTTCCCTTATATTTACAACTTGACTACTGTTTGGCAAAAGAGGCCTAGCTTTCAGTTGATCTCAGCTTTTGACATGCCTTCCTCACAAAGCTTAATCATTTCTAGCTTTTAGTTTAAAGCGAGAAACATGCGACACTTCCTTTCACTTGTCCACTTAGAGGACACTGTAGGGTTATTAATTGGCCGATTTTCAGTATTGTTGTGTCTCCAGGATTAGGGAGGGCCAACGAGAGGAGAAAGATGGGGGAAGGGCCGGTAGGTGGAGCAGTCAGAACACACACGACATTTATCAATTAAGTTCACGGTCTTACATGGGCATGCTTCATGGCAGCCAAAACAATTACAATAGTAACATCAAAGAAGACTAATCATGGATCACCGCAGCAGACATAAAAATAATGAAAAGGTATGAAAATTGTGAGAATCAGCAAAATGGGACACAGAGACACAAAGTGAGCACATGCTGTTGGAAAAAAATAAAAGGTGCCAATAGACTTGCTGGAGGCAGGGTTGCCACAAACCTTTAATTTGTAAAAATTGCATCACCTAGGAAGGACAATAAAGTAAAGAGCAGACTGGGCATGTTGGCTCATGCCTGTAATCCCAGCACTTTGGGAGGCCGAGGTGGGTGGATCATGAGGTCAGAAGATCAAGACCATCCTGGCTAACGTGGTGAAACCGTGTCTCCACTAAAAATACAAAAAATTAGTCAGGCATGGTGGTGGGCGCTTGTAGTCCCAGCTACTTGGGAGGCTGAGGCAGTAGAATGGCATGAACTCAAGAGGCGGAGCTTGCAGTGAACCGAGATCGCGCCATTGCACTCCACTCCAGCCTGGGCGACAGAGTAAGACTCCGTCTCAAAAAAAAAAAAAAAAAAAAAAAGTGATGTATGCAAGAAGAGGATATGGAAGTCTGAGAGTTGACCAAGGTCATAAAGCTAGGACTTGAACCCCAAAGTTCAGCTTCAGGGCCCACATTCTAAACTGTCATTGCATTGCCTTTCACAGTTGAATGAGACACTGTCAATATTTTATACTGCTGGTGAGAGTGAAAAGGTTCTGCAGCAAGGACAGGATGGTGCCTGGAGCTGCCACTGTAAAGGCTGACTTAGAGAAAGCAGATATTTTTCTAAGTGGGGCTTACATATTACCAGGAAGGGCTCCAGGAGGAGGAGAGGTTGAAAAGACTCTGAGGTGAAGTCCTTGGTGGCATAAAATGACCACACCCCTGAGACTTCCCTGATTCCCAAATGCAATGCAGTTTGTGTAGCAGGCTGCTTCTAAGATAGCCCCAGTGAGCCCTGTTCCTGGTGTCGATGCCCTTGTGTGATCCTAAGGATTCTGGCTTCTACCTTGCTTGATCTCTCTTGCTTGGTCAGATGAAAGGCAAGTGCCATGTTGTAAACTGCCTTATGGAACTGGCGATATAGCCAAGGGACTGAGGGAAGCTTCCAGACAACAGCCTGTGGGAACAGAATCCTACCCACAGCAATTTGAGTGAACTTAGGACAAAATGCTCAACATCGCTAATCATCAGAGAAACATAAACCGAAACCATAATGAGATACTATCTTACACCAGTCAGAATGGCTATTATTAAAAAGTCAAAAAACAACAGATGTTGGCAAGGCTGTGGAGAAAAGCATTCGCTCATACACTGCTGGTGGAAATGTAAATTACCTCAGCCACTGTGGAAAGCGGTTGGAGATTTCCCAAAGAATATAAAACAGAACTACCATTCTACCCAGCAATCCCATTACTGGGTAAATATCTGAAAGAAAATAAATCATTTTACCAAAAACATACGTGTACTTATACGCCAACAACAGACAAACAGAGAGCCAAATCATGAGTGAACTCCCATTCACAATTGCTTCAAAGAGAATAAAATACCTAGGAATCCAACTTACAAGGGATGTGAAGGACCTCTTCAAGGAGAACTACAAACCACTGCTCAAGGAAATAAAAGAGGATACAAACAAATGGAAGAACATTCCATGCTCATGGGTAGGAAGAATCTATATCATGAAAATGGCCATACTGCCGAAGGTAATTTACAGATTCAATGCCATCCCCATCAAGCTACCAATGACTTTCTTCACAGAATTGGAAAAAACTACTTTAAAGTTCATATGGAACCAAAAAAGAGCCCACGTCACCAAGTCAATCCTAAGCCAAAAGAACAAAGCTGGAGGCATCACTCTACCTCACTTCAAACTATACTACAAGGCTACAGTAACCAAAACAGCATGGTACTGGTACCGAAACAGAGATATAGATCAATGGAACAGAACAGAGCCCTCAGAAATAATGCCACATATCTACAACTATCTGATGACAAACCTGAGAAAAACAAGCAACGGGGAAAGGATTCCCTATTTAATAAATGGTGCTGGGAAAACTGGCTAGCCATATGTAGAAAGCTGAAACTGGATCCCTTCCTTACACCTTATACGAAAATCAATTCAAGATGGATTAAAGACTTAAACGTTTGACCTAAAACCATAAAAACCCTAGAAGAAAACCTAGGCATTACCATTCAGGACATAGGCATGGGTAAGGACTTCATGACTAAAACACCAAAAGCAATGGCAACAAAAGCCAAAATTGACAAATGGGATCTAATTAAACTAAAAAGCTTCTGCACAGCAAAAGAAACTACCATCAGAGTGAACAGGCAACCTACAGAATGGGAGAAAATTTTCGCAACCTACTCATCTGACAAAGGGCTAATATCCAGAATGTACTTGTATGTTCATAGCAGTACTATTCATAATAACAAAGACATAGAGTCATCCTAGGTGCCCATCAGTGGTGGACTGAATAAAGAAAATGTACATATGTGTCATGAAATACTCTGCAGCCATAAAGAAACAAAATCATGTCCTTTGCAGCCACATGGATGCAGCTGGAGGCCATTTTCCTAAGCAAATTAATGCAGGAACAAAAAACCAAATACCGTATGTTCTCACTTATAAGTTGGAGCTAAACATTGGTTAGACATGGACATAAAAATTGCAACAATAGACAGTGGGGACTACTAGAAGGGGCAGTCGGGAAGGAGGGCAAGGGCTGAAAAACCAACTCTTAGATACTATGCCCGCTACCTGGGTGATGGGATCATTTGTATCCCCAGCCTCAGCATCATGCAATATACTCATGCAACAAATCTGCAAATGTACCCCTTGAATCTAACATAAAAGCTGAAATTATTTAAAGAAACAAAAGAAAAAGGAAGTGAGTCCTTCTTAAGAGGACTGCAGCCCCAGGCAACACATTAATTGCAGCTTAGTCAGAGACTCAGGCAGATAATCCAGCTAAGTCACACCCAGATTCCTGATCACAGACATTGTGACAAAATAAACGTTTTTGTTTCAAGCTGCTAACCTTGGGGGGTAATTTGTTACACAGCAGAGAAGACTAATAAAGTGTTCACATCAGATTCTTCCAACACACTTCTTCAGGTCCTCTGGGACTCACCTGGCTCCGAATCCAGTTATCTTTGAGGTGACCAGTCTTGCTTGGGCTCCAGTCACCTTCATGCAGGTGGAATCTGGTCCGACTTTGCTTCTGTCTTATATTGTACCTGTCTCCTCCCACCTGCCTTGCACCCACGCATGTCTATTTTGCAGATAAGTTAACTTGCTATGGTGCAAATCTTTGACCAGAGGGCAATGGAACAATGGATAATACATGATTTCCCCTTTCCTTTTTCCTGGAAATGGCATCCTGAGATACATTTCTTACTGCTTTTCAGGAACTGTTGTATGGTAACTGTGAAAGTATGCAACAATACCTACAGAGACAGCCACCTGGCAACACTTGCATCAGCAATCTCTCCTTCCATGATTTGCTTCCTGACTCTCTCTCCTGCTCCCTGGGATCACATCTCCCAAAACTGCATGTGCAGAAGCCTTTGTTGGGCTGTGATTTCTGGGCAATCTAAGCTAGGATGGACATTGTCTAATACATCAGAGATGCTCAGTCAGTGAAACTATCAAGCCTCTTCTCTGTATGGTTGAGTGACCCGGACCGTATTCCTTTTAATTTGAAAGTTTTATAATTCCCTATATTTTTATTTTGTTCTTATAGCCTCTTTCTTATCTTCATGAGAGAAGATAACAAAATGGAAGACACAAAGCAGTTCAGTGAACAAGTTTCAAATAGAATTGATGAAGTTTTTCCCTCCTAACTCACTCTCCTGTAACTCCTTCCACCCATTCCCTCCCTTGCTCTTCATTCCTTATTGGTACTTTCCAGTGTAGAGTTCCCCTGTCTCATCACCCTTTCATACTTCCAAGTCTTTGCTCATCTACTCCCCCTGCCACAAATAGCATCCAAATTTCTAGTTAATTATTATGTATTTTTAATGATACCACTTTAAAGTTTGTCTCATCCAGCAACTTAGGAAGCCTTCTCTAAAAACCTCCCTTTGGACGAAGTGTTCCTTCTCTGAGATCTCAGAAGAAACTAGAACATCTGACTGCCTTATTCATTTTTCATAAAAAACATTATAAACTTTGCTGGAACAACAACCATAGTATATTCATCTAACACCTTCAGTGCTTAATACTCTTCATTGAATGAATGAATAAATCCAATAAAGCAAGAAGAATGACTAAAACCAATTTTCCCTTGAATGTCGTGCTGACAATTTCAACATAAATCTGAAAGCTACTCAATTCTGTGTTGAAAGTTAGGGTGACTGGAATAAAAACTCACACTCTTTCAACCAGTTCCATATTCAGCCTGCACCCAGTTTGCTGTTATCAGTGCAGTTCAGCAAGGCAGACAATCTGGCCCTCCTCCTCTAGCACTTCAGAGCTTATGAGATGACATGGTAAAACGTGCAGAATAAACCTGGGGGGGTGGGTGACAAGCATTTTTCACCTCCCCTCTTGCCTTGGCTAGGCCTACACCCTTCACTTCCCAATATCCCACCTCTAACATCAACCTTATTTTCAAGAGTGAGAGCATGAAGTGTCCAAAGTTCTACAACCTTGGAAATGTCTACAGATCAATGACTTTTGAGACCAAAGAATGTGTGTGATAATTTAATAAATACAATATGCTTAAGTTCCCCTGTTCACACACAAATACATATATATATATATATATATGCACAAAAAATATATAAGAAGCTCATTAGCACTTGAGACAGTTCATTCTGTTTCTACCTAAATAATGAATATAGAGGATATCTGATATATTATTTTCTAGGTTGTGACCTGTGACAAGTCAGCTCACCCACTGAGCCTCAATTTTCTCATCCATACAACTGAACCATATGTGCCTGCATGACCTTGTACAAAGGATGATAGCAGCAATCACAGGAATGAATGGAGAACAACTTTGAAACATGAAGAGATGTTTTCTTCTAGTACAGACTGTTGTTCCTGTTCTACCTATAATCTAGGGCCATTGGGCATTCTTCATTCCCGAAACACCCCCCAAAAGAGATGGTGCATTAGAATTGCAGACATAAGAAGAGAATAGTTTATCCTTAATTTTAAGTTTTCAAACAGACTTTTGAATTTAATGAGTAAGATTTTAATTTAATAACAAAGAATTTGAAACTTCAAAACTCCAGGAATTTGGCCATGAATAGTAGCTTCAAGAGATTATTAACTGATTAATTTTTTTCCCCACTCTTCAACCTAAAAACTGGATAGAGTTTGATTGGACTAAGAGAATCTGAGACAGAGTCAAAGGGGAAGTGAAGATGGCTGTAGCACTTACCAGTCCCCCACTAAGAGGCTCCATGCATGCTCTCACCCCACCTTCAAACCTGGCTGAGTGTCCTAATTCTAAAGAAAAAAACATGAAATGACATGGAGGAATCTCTGTGCAGAGATGATCTGTGTCCTCATCCCTCATTCGAATTTGGGCACACAGCAGGTCCCTGAGTTCTCCAAGCACCAAATGGTTTCCTATCAAAGGACCTTAAAGGGTCCAGAATCCAGAAGTAGCAACTCGGGATAAGCAGTGAGAAGTTAATGACTGAGGATCCTATGGGAAGATGTAAAACTCAAAGGATGCTGGTGAGGAAGATAATGATCACAAGCTAAATACTCAATCCCCATGCTCAATTCTCAACTCCAATACTATAGCTCTCTGGAAATCCAAGAACTTGGTTTCAACCTCACAGAAAAGTGAGGAGAAATTCTTGATTTTGCTGTTGTTGTTAATCTATGGCCTGGAGATTAGAATAAAAATGAGGTTCAACTACAAAAAACAGCTCCATTTTTGCAAATCTAAGTTGGTGGGCTATGTTACCATGAGTAAAGGGACTCACACAGCATCTGGCCCAGAGCAGGTGTCCTGTTATTAACAGCTCCCTTCCCACAATGTTGAACTGACTCTGACCTCACAACACTCTCATAGCTCCCAGTTTAGCTCTCGTGGTGACAAAGACAAATGATTTAATCATAGAGTCTTTGCCCAGTATGGAACTTTCCAGGCCAGCTCTCTCAATTTAGAGTTTGGAACCTGAGACCCAGGGATGGGGAGAGACACTGCCAGACACAGCGAAGTAGCATCAGAGATAGGAGGGAAGCTCAGGTCTCCTGAATTTATGTTACAACTCTTTCCATTTCCCATGAAGCTTCCCAAGGAAAAAAGCCGAGGATGACTTTGCAGGAGATCATCAATAATTTAATTGGTGGAAGACAGAAGGGCAAGAGGGAGTTAATTAGTGTGAAGAGCTAATCAAGACAATATGGCCCCAAGGGGAATCCTAATACTCTCCAGCATCTGAGAATGAATGACAGTGACATAGTAACAAGTTGCTCTGATCCTTCACATCCCCATAGGCCCATCTCCTGAAATATGTTTCACATGGTTATGTGTTTATCAAATATCTCCATTGGTTTCACGGTGTCTAGAAACTAAAATTCTACTTCTTTGGCATAGCAGTCAAAGCCCTCTCTGTTCTTCCCTCAATGCCCTTTGCTAGCCTCAATGTTCTCTGCAGCCTTTTGGACAACCTCCTCTCCCTTCCCTTGGAGCATTCATGCCTGGTCCTCAATTTTTTGCCCAGTCTGCAAGACTCTCTTTCTTCATCCTCCCTCATGTATCAAAATTCAGCTCAGTTTGTAAGGCACAGTTTAGATGGCACTTTCCCTTGATCCCCCAGGACAAAATAAATCTTAATTCTCTGTACTTTTGGAGTACAAAACTAGGAGAATAGTAAAGCAGAGCAATAGAGAGGTTAAAGCACAGGAGCTTAAGTCAAACAGACCAGCCACTTACTAGTTACATGATCCTTAGCAAATTCCCTAACCTCCCTGAACCTTTAATTTGCAAAATGAGATATTAATGTTGTCACCTCCTAAGGGCATGTGACTTACATAATACATAAGACCTGTTGTTTTGCACAATGTTTGGTACTTGTTTTATTTCATCCAGTCTAATACAGCTGGAGTAAAATATAATAATATGCATAATCATATTTTAATGCCTCACTTTTTATCTTGTGTTATCATCCTTTTAGTCTATCTTTTCCCCTTCTCTGTATAAGTTCCAGAGGGTCAGATTTATGTCTTGCTCATTCACTCATTCAAAAATTAGTTATTATACACCAATGTATGTCAGATATTCTTCTAAGCACTGGAGATACTGAGCTGAAACCAAACAAACATAATTCCTATTCCCAAAGATTTTACTTTTGAGCAAGATGGCTGACTAGATGTGGACAGGAAGAGCTTCTCCCACCAAGATACCAAATCATCAAGAAGATTAGCACACTCCAAACAGATCTCCAGAAAGAAGGCACAGAGAGTGAATGGAGGGAGGGTGCAGATGCAAGGCTAAAAGGGGAGGAAGGTAGAAGCCCTGCATGGAGTTGCCAAGCACCAGGACTCAGTCCTGGCCCAGAGTGGATCCTGGGGAAGAGGTGTGTGAAAGAGGCATGGAGTGGCCCAGTCTCATCATGGACCTCCAGAATCCTAGCTTCAGGAGATTCCACAACCCCGATGGACATTTAAGCTGGCAGGAAACTGCCCAGAGAGATGGCAGAGACAGAACTCCAGCCTGCATGTAGCTTAGAGAATATGGCTTGGGAACAACTATAGTGGAGCACAGTCATTGGTGCTCATCCTCCTAGGCTCACAATACCCCTCTAGCTGGCTTTAGCCTTGATTGACTGACAGACCTGAACAGAGCAGGGCTATCTTTCCCATGGGAGGGGGCCAGTCTGATCTGACTGTCCTCATCTGCTGGCTTATCCCAGAGTCCCTGCCTGACTGCACCTAGTTGCAACACAGCCTCAGCTGCCCAGCCCAGGCACCTGCCAGTGGCCTGCACCATAGCTCTTTCACTGGCAGACCTGCCTAAAGCTGGAGGGCTTCCATAGGCAGGCCCTCACCACCAGCAACCCTCTCCCCATGCTGCTTTTTTGGTGTATACTCACCCCCAGCCGTTCCTTGCTGCTTTGCTAGTGCTCACTCGCCCACAATCTCCCCTGGCTGCCACTGGCATGAATGTGTACATGGGACCAGCCACTGCCCCACCACTGCCCTGCTGAAGCATGCTTGCCAGCATTGCCCATGACAGTATTGTTACCAATGGACTGGGGACACCTTGGCTCCTCCAACACAGCAGGTGCTTAACCTCGAGAGGCCAGAGAGAAAAAATATGCAGGCCTGGTCCCAGACTACCACAGTTAGTGCACACAGCCCAAGAGTGCTGAGCTAAGCCTTGGACCCCTGAAATCAATGAGAAATTAAGCCAATTAACTAAGCCCAAACTATACCACAGTCAAAAGCATCAAAGAATCCCACCCAAAATACAGTAATTTTAAACATTAAAGGAACATCAACCCATTCACATGAGAAAAAATAAGCATAAGAACTCTGGTGACACTAAAAGCCAGTCTTCTTACCTCCAAAGGAGTGCCCTAACTTCCCAGCAATGGTTCTTAACCATGCTAAAATGGCTAAAATGGCAGACGTCAAATTCAGAATCTGGATGATAATGATTATCATCAAGTTTCAGGAGAAAGTTGAAACCCAATCCAAGGAATCTAAAAAATCCAATAAAATTTATATAAGAGCTGAAAGATGAAATGGCTATTTTAAGAAAGAACAAAAGTAATCTCCTAGAGCTGAAAAACTCACTATAAGAATTTCATAATATAATCAGAAGTATTAACAGCAGAATATACAAAGATGATGAAAGAATCTCAGAGCTTGAATACTGGTTCTTCAAACCAACTCAGACAAAAGTAAAGTGAAAAGAATTTTTAAAAGTGAATGAAACCTTGGGAAAATGAGGGATTATGTAAAAAGACCAAACCTATGACTCATTGGCATCGCAGAAAGAGAGGGAGCAAGCAACTTTGAAAACATATTTGAGGATATTGTCCATAAAATTTCCCCAACCTTACTAGAAAGGTCAATATACAAATTCAGAAAATCCAGAAAACTGCGAGATGCTATACAAGATGACCATTCAAAATTAGTTATAGACACATAGTCATCAGATTCTCCAAGGTCAACATGAAAAAAAAAAGTAAAGGCAGCTAGAGAGAAGAGGTAGATAATGTAGAAAAGGATCTCCATCAGACTACCAGCAGAACTCTCAGCAAAAGCCTTACAAGACAGAAGAGATTGAAAGCATATATTCAGCATCTTTAAAGAAAAGAAATTCCAGCCAAGAATTTTATATCTAGCAAAGCTAAGCTTCGTAAATGAAGGATAAATAAAATCCTTTTCAGACCAGCAAACACTAAGGGAACTTGTTAACAAATCTGTAACCAATTATCTTAGTGTTTGCTGATCTGAAAAAGATTTTCTTTTCACATCAGCCTTACTAGAAGTCCTTAAGGGAGTGCTAAACATAGAAAAAAAAAACACTCACCAACCACAAAAAAAAAAAAAAAACATACTTAAGCACATAGCGCACTGACACTACAACAACTACACAATAAAGTCTACATAATAACTAGCTAACATAAGATAACAGAATTAAATCCTTACATATGAATATTAACCTTGAACATAAACAGGCTAAATGCCCCACTTAAAAGGCACAGAGTGGCAAGATGGATAAAGAAGCAAGAAGACCAAACTGTATGCTGTCTTCAAGAGACCCATCTCACATGCAATGACGCCACAGATTCAAAGTGAAGAAATGGAGAAAGATCTATCAAGCAAACAGAAAACAACAGAAAAGAGCAGAGGTTGCTATTCTTATTTCAGAGAAAACAGACTCTAAACCAACAACAATAAAAAATGACAAAGAATGGTGTTACATAATGATAAAGGGTTCAACTCAACAAGAAGACTTAACTATACTAAATACATATGCACCCAACATTGGAGCACCAGACTCATAAAAAAAGTTCTTAGAGACCTACAAAGACAATTAAATAGCCACACAATAATAATAGGAATCTTTAACCCCCTACTGATAGTATTAGACATATCATCAAGGCAGGAAACTAACAATGATATTCAGAACCCAAACTCGACACTTTACCAAAGTGACCTAACAGACATCTACAGAACATTCCACCCAACAATAACAGAATATACATTATTCTTATCAGCACATGGCAACTACTCTAAGATCAACCACACATTTGGCCATAAGGCAATTCTCAACAAATTTTTAAAAATAAAATCATATCCATGTTCTCAGACCACAGCACAATTAAAAATAATAATATCAAGAAGATATCTCAAAACCATGCAATTACATGGAAATCAAACAATTTGCTCTTGAGTAACTTTTGGGTAAAGAATGAAATTAAGACAGAAATCAATGTTTTGAAACTAATGAAAACAAAGATACAACATACCAGAATCTCTGAGATACAGCTAAAGCAGTGTTAGAAAGTTAATAGTGCTAAACACCTACATCAAGTTACAGAAAGGTCTCAAATTAACAACCTAACATCACACCTAGGGGAACCAGAAAAACAAGAGCAAATGAACTCCAAAGCTAGCAAAAGAAAAGAAATAACCATAATTGAGATTCAGTGAATGAAATCAAGATACAAAAATATATACAAAAGATCAACAAAACCAAAATCTGGTTCTTTGAAAAAATAAGTAATAGTGATAGACCTCTAACTGGACTAATAAAGAAAAAAGGGAGAAGATACACATAATCATAATTAGAAATGGCAAAGGGGACACTACCACTGACCCAACAGGAATACAGAAAAAAAGAAAAAACACTCAGAGACTATTACAACACCTCTATGCATGCAAACTAGAAAACCTACAAGAAATTGATAAAATTCCTGGAAACATAAAATTTCCCAAAACTGAACCAGGAAGAAATTGAACACCTCAAGAGACTAATAATGCATTCCAAAACTGAATCAATAATAAAAAATCTATCAATCATAAAAAGCCCTGGATCAGAGAGATTCACAGTCAAAATTTACCAGATATAGACAGTACAGGTGACACCAAAACTACTGAAATATTTTCAAAACATCAAGGAGTAGGGACTCCTCTCTAACTCACTCTATGAGGCCAGCATCATTCTATTAATAACACCAAAACTGGGCAGAGACACAACAGAAAAAGAAAACAGTCCACTATCCTTGATGAATGTAGATGTAAAACTCCTACCAAATCAAATCCACCAGCACATCAAAAAGCTAACCCACCAAGATCAGTAGGCTTTTTTTCCTAGGATGACAAGTTGTTTCAACATACACAAACCAATAAATGAGATTCATCACATAAACAGAACTAAAAACAAAAAACACATGATCATCTCAATAGGCACAGAAAAGGCTTTCAACGAAATTCAACATCCCTTTATATTAAAAGCCCTAAACAAACTAGGAATTAAAGGAGCATACCTCAAAATAACAAGAGATGTCTAAGGCAAACCTACAAGCCAACATAATTCTGAATGGGCAAAAGCTGGAAGCATTCCCCTTGAGCACTGGAACCACACAAGGCTGCCAAATCTCACCACAACTATTTAACATAGTGCTCAAAGTACTAGCCAGAGCAATAAGGCAAGAGAAAGAAATAAAAGACATCCAGGCTGGGTGCAGTGGCTCACGCCTGTAATCCCAGCACTTTGGGAGGCAGAGGCAGACAGATCATGAGGTCAGGAGATTGAGACCATCCTGGCTAACACGGTGAAACCCTGTCTCTAGTAAAAATACAAAAAAAATTAGCCAGGCATGGTGGCAGGCAACTGTAGTCCCAGCTACTCAGGAGGCTGAGGCAGGAGAATGGCATGAACTGGGGAGGCAGAGCTTGCAGTGAGCCACGATTGCACCACTGCATTCCAGCCAGGGCAACAGAGCGAGACTCTGTCAAAAAAAAATATATATCTAAATAGGGAAAAGGTAAGACAAACTATCTGTTTTCACAGATGATATGGTTTTACACCTATAAAATCCCGTAGTCTCTGTATAGAAGCTCTTAGAACTGACAATTTCAGTATGGTTTCAAGATACAAAAGTCAATGTACAAAATCAGCATTTCTATACATAATTAATGTCTAAGCTGAGAACCAAATAAAAAATGCAATCCCATTCACAATAGTCACAAATATAATAAAACACCTAAGAATACAGCTAACCAGGGATGTCAAAGAACTCTACAGCAAGAATTACAAAAACTGCTGAAAAAAGTCAGAAATGACACAAACAAATAGAAAAACATTCCATGCTTATGGATAGGAAGAATAAACATTGTTAAAATGTCCATACTGTCCAAAGAAATTTACAGATTCAATGCTATTTTTATCAAACTACCAATATCATTTTCATAGAATTAGAAAAAACTATTCCAAAATTAATATGAAACTGAAAGAGCCTGAATAGCCAAAACAATACTAAGGAAAAAGAAAAAAGCTAGAGGCATTACATTACCCAATTGCAAACTGCACTACAAGGCTACAGAAACCAAAACAGCATGGTATGTGTACAAAAACAAACACATAGACCAATGGAACAGAACAGGTTAGAGAACTCAGAAATAAAGCCACACAACTACAAAGTCAACAATAACAAGCAATGGAAAAGGTCTCCCTATTCAATAAATTGTGCTGGGATAACTGGCTAGCCATAAGCAGAAGATTAAAACTGGACTCCCCCTTTCACCATACACAAAAAAGTCAACACAAAATGGATTAAAGACTTAAACATAAAACCTGAAATCATAAAAACCCTAGAAGAAAACCTAGGAAATACCATTCTGGACATCCACCTTCACAAAGATTTTATGACGATGACTCTAAAAGCAATTATAACAAAAACTAAAATAGGCAAGTGGGACCTCACTAAACTAAAAAGCTACTGCACAGCAAAGGAAATTATTAATAGATTAAACAGAAAACCTACAGAATTGGAGAGAATATTTGCAAACTATTTGTCTAATAAGGGTCTAATATCTAGAACCCATAATAAACTTTAACCAACAAGCAAAAGACAAATAACCCCATTTTTAAAAAGCCAAAGGACATGAACAGACACTTCTCAAAATAAGACATACCTGCAGCCAACTAGCATATGAAAAAATGCTCAACATCACTAATCACTAGAGAAATTCAAATCAAAACTACAATATCATCTCACACCAGTCAGAATGGCTACAATTAAAAAGTCAAAAAATAACAGAAAAAGGAATGTTTATACACTGCTGATGGTAATATAAGTTAGTTCAGCCACTGTAGAAAGCAGTTTGGGTTACAGATTTCTGAAAAAAACAAAAACAAAAACAAAAACAAAAAGCTATCATTCAACCCAGCAATTGTATTATTGGGTGTATATCCAATTGAATATAAATTGTTCTACTGTAAAGACACATATACTCATATGTTCACTGCAGCACTTTTCATAATAGCAAAAAGACATGTAATTTACATACATATCCATTAACAGTGGACTGAATAAAGAAAATGTGGTCAATATACACCATGGAATACGATGCAATCATAAAAGAGAATGAAATCATGTTCTTTGCCGCCAACATGGATGCAGCTGGAGGCCATTATCCTAAGCAAATTAACACAAGAACAGAAAACCACAGACCACATGTTCTTACTTATAAGTGGGAGTTAAACACTGAGTACACATGTACAATAATAGGGAAACAACAGACACCAGGGCTTACATGAGGGTAGAGAGTGGGAGGGGGGTGAGGATTGAAAATCTACCTTTTGAGTACTATGCTCAGTATCTGAGTGATGAAATAATTTGTAAGCCAAACCCAGACAAGGGGCAACTTACCTATGTAAAAAATCTGTACTTTTACCCTTTGAACCTAAAATAAAAGTTAGCGGAAAAAAAGCCTTTGCTTTCTACTTAGGGAGATATCGGGGAAAATTCAGCCAGATATCGGGCGAAATTCACCCCCGATATTTCACATGGGTTCTTTTCTATTTTCCCTAAGCATCAGCCAGGTTGAGAAATAAAGGGACAGAGTACAAAAGAGAGAAATTTTAAAGCTGGGTGTCTGGGGGAGACATCACATGTCGGTAGGTTCCGTGATGCCCCACAAGCCGCAAAACCAGCAAGTTTTTATTAGTGATTTTCAAAGGGGAGGGAGTGTATGAATAGGGTGTGGGTCACAGAGATCATCAGCTTCACAAGATAATAGAATATCACAAGGCAAATGGAGGCAGGGCGGGATCACAGGACCACAGGGCCAGGGCAAAATTAAAATTGCTAATGAAGTTTCGGGCACACATTTTCATTGATAACATCTTATCAGGAGACAGGGTTTGAGAGCAGACAACCTATCTGACCAAAATTTATTAGGTGGGAATTTTCTCATCCTAATAAACCTGGGAGCACTATGGGAGACTGGGGCTTATTTCATCCCTACAGCTCGACCATAAAAGACGGCTGCACCCCAGGGGGCCATTTTAGAGGCCTACCCTCAGGGGTGCATTCTCTTTCTCAGGGATGTTCCTTGCTGAGAAAAAGAATTCAGCCATATTTCTCCCATTTGCTTTTGAAAGAAGAGAAATATGGCTGTGTTCTGCCCAGCTCACCAGCGGTTGGAGTTTAAGGTTTTCTCTCTTGCCTGAACATTGCTGTTATCATGTTCTTTTTTTCAAGGTGCCCAGATTTCATATTGTTCAAACACACATGCTCTACAAACAATTTGTGCAGTTAACGCAATCATCACAGGGTCCTGAGGCGACATACATCCTCCTCAGCTTATGAGATGACAGGATTAAGATATTAAAGACAGGCATAGGAAATCACAAGGGTATTGATTGGGGAAGTGATAAGTGTCCATGAAATCTTCACAATTTATGTTCAGAGATTGCAGTAAAGAGAGGCGTAAGAAATTATAAAAGTATTAATTTGGGGAACTAATAAATGTCCATGACATCTTCACAATTTATGTTCTTCTGCCATGGCTTCAGCCGGTCCCTCCGTTCGAGGTCCCTGACTTCCCACAACAGTGAGAAAGACATGTAGATGTATATATCTTCAATACCTTCTTAGATTCTAGCACAAAGATCTGCACAAATGGGTATCTACTTTAAAATTTACCCTTGACAAAGTAGTTTCTTAGTGCTAAATGTCAGACTAAGCAATTTCTATGCATTATCTCAATGAATATTTACAACTTCCCAGTGCTCTCCCTATTTTAACACTAGAAAATTATGGCTCTGTCAGGTTATGTGGTTTGTTCAAGGATCCACAATTAGGAAGCAATGACATTAGAATTCAAATTCAGATGTGCCTTACCCCAAAACTCTTGTCCATTCCACTAGATTTTAGTGCCTCTACTTATTGGATACTTAGTTGTTGTCTCAATAAATAAACTGATGGGTAAAATAACACTATGAGGAGTAGGGAAAACTTTCAGGATTCCATTTTGTCTTTGCTTTCTAAAATTACAAACCATGACATTTTTTGAACCATCCATCACATTGAATTTTATGAATATTGTTCATTCCTCAGGTTGCTATTCAAAGTACATTACAGTGCATTGCTACCATTTAGCCTTTGTAAGGCTCAATGAGCCAGCCAACTCCATTGATTATCTGTCACTTCAGAATATGTCTGTCACAAATTCATCCCAAAGCCATGTTGGGCCAACCACATGGTCATCCTTATCTTTGACTTAATTTCACCATTCATAATAAGAGCTACCATAATGTGTACAAGCATTATATATTTTAAAAGTAATAAGAGCTGGCATTGAGTGGGTGTTCACTTGTTGCCATGAACTCTCCTGAGTATTATATACATGGATACATTTGATCCTTACAGCAGCCTTTGATGTGGGTAAGATTGCTCAGTATCACAGATGGAAAAGACTCAGAGCACTAGCAATCTGACCAAAGTTCAAACAGAGCAAATAAGAAGCAGGACCAGATCTCAAAGAGCATAGCTTTCAGGCCACAAGCATTTGCTTGGAAACATCATGTGTAGTTGGTGAAAAGGTAAATATTATTCTGAGTAAGGCTTCTCACCAATAAGATGCGGTTGCGAAGGGAGTGGGGACAGAACCTCCTTATGTATTCATAAAACTGTCCAGAGAGAAAGCACCTCTGGCTCTTGAAGGTGTGGTCTCTATAGTGGCCATCCAGAATCCTATTGTTCAGAGCAGCTCCTCTCATTGGCTTAAATGAACATTCCATTTGGAATGATTCTAGTGTAATGGAGAAGAAAGAGTGTGCTAAGCCTCATTCACCCTCTTCAGAGTAGAATGAATACAGACAGGCTTGGCTTTTCATCCTGGCTTCAACTCTTACTCAGTGTAGATACCATGCTTTCTCCTGAACTTTGGTCAAACAATTGTTGGTCAGGTACTGTCCTAGGTGCTGAAGTCACATAAAAGAATGAGGCTCGGTTTACACCAGCAAAAAGTTCACAGGAACTGGAGAATATAAATATACTATGGGGTCTGTCGTGGAGGCTCATGCCTGTAATCTCAGCACTTTGGGAGGCCAAGGCGGGCAGATCACCTGAAGTCAGGAGTTCGAGACCAGCCAGGCCAACATATATATATATATATATATATATATATATATATATATATATATATATACACACACATACATATACACACACACACACACACACACATATATATATACACACACACACATATATAAAATGTTTTATGTATGTTTTATATATATATATACACATATGTGTGTGTGTGTGTGTGTGTATATATATATATAATGCTAAGCACAACCAGAAAAAACTCTAAGCCTCAAGTTGTACATCAAAATATTGTACCAAGGAAGACTACATCAAACTTCATTTGTAATCTGGTAAGCACAAAATAACATCATAATATGGCACTTCATATTGACCAGAATGGCTAAGCTAAAATATAAAAGCAGAGATTACCAAGTGTGGATGTGGATGTGAAATGACTGAAATTTTTGTATATTGCTGGAGAAGTGTAAATTGGTATGGCTACTTTGGAAAACTATTTAGCAATATCTACTAAAACTAAGCATGCATGTACCTCATTACACAACTGTGCCATTCTTGGTGATATACTCAACTATATACACATATGTATACTATATATGTATAATATATGTATACATATATATAATGTGTATATATATACATTAAAAGACATGTATGAGAATGCTATTATCATTTTTATCATAATCTAATACTATAATTTATACAAATCTCATTAGAATGGGTAATTGAATTGTGGTATAGTCATACTTTAAAACACTTCATGGCAAAGAGAATAAAATACTATTCTATTAAGACAGGATTAAGATATTATTATTCTATTAAGAATCTATTAAGAGTAGACCTAAACACATATTCCTTGACCTATGAGACACGAATTATGATATCTACCTTTTAAAATATTTAAAAATTTTTTACATGGCACTGAATTTTGAGATATGGCTTTTAACTCGATTTCTCCAAAAATTCCTATTTTCTTATCCTGAAATGAAAACTATCTTCCCAAGATACAAATGAAGTTTTCTGAACCTTGACTTATGAGACAAGAATTATGATATAATAGAATAAAATACTATTCTATATGGCAATTTGGATTAATTGCATAATAATGTTTGAGCAAAAGAAGCCAAACAGAAAAAATATATACTGTCTGATCCTGTTTGTATAAACCTGTTCAAAAATAGTCAAAACTAACCTATGGTGTTATAACTCAGGATTGTAAATACCTTTGGTAGTGGGGAAGAGGGAGTGATTATGTGTAGACAGGAACAAAAGGGAGTTTTGGGGGTGTAGGTGATATTCTGTTTCTTGATCTGGGTGCTAGTTAAACTGAATCTTTGAGTTGGAAGAAATTCATCAAGATTATATATATATATATATAATATTTATGCATTCTACAAATATATATATATGCATTCTACAAATGTATATTTTAATAAAATACTTAAAAGTTTGTTACATGGCACTGAATTTTGAGACATGGCTTTTAAATTGATTTCTCCAAAATTTCTCATTTTTTATCCTGAAACAAAAACTATCATTCAAAAATATAAGTTAAGTTTTCTGAACCTTGACCTATGAGACAATAATTATGATATCTACTTTCACTAAGTGAAAGTGAGAATGAAATTTGAAAACTTAACACTGCAACAACTTGCCAGCATAATAAATACTTGTAATGGGTCAGTGAGTGAGTAAACGTGTCCTGTAAATGCTATTACATTAAGGTTAGGCCACTACATTGTTTAGAAAACCATGTAGCAGCACTTATTAAGAGTAGATCTAAACACATTACATAACATAGCTATGTCAATCGAGCCCTAGAATGTACAATATATTGTATATTGCTGTTGAAATCGATGTAACATCATTCCCTGATCATTTTCCATATTTTAATTTATATTGCCTGTACTTCATTGATACATCTTTTATTCCTGCCATAACAAACTTCCTACTCATCCCAAATATGCCCCATGGATTTCTCCACCTGGTCTCAAGCCAGATGGTTCCATCTTCTCAGAATTCTCATCCACCAACCTGTGCAAAGCGTACCTATTTCTTCAAAGTCCTCTCACTCTTTTTAACTCCCATGATACTTTGCCTACTTCTCCAATAGCAATAACAGCACCACGATCATAATAGGCTTCCATTAGTTGGGTGTCAAACTTTGGGCTAAATGTTTTATGTTAATTTATAATCCAATCATCCCCTGGAATAGTACTGATAGTCTGTTGATATTTTTAACAGAAAAAGATAAAATAAAATAAACTAACAGTAACTATGGGAATTGGGCATTGTCCTCCCATTTTTAAATAAGAAAATGAAGTCTCCCGTTGACTAAGTAATACATAGATCTATCCTACACAATTAGGGCCTACAGAACTTGGGACTCAAAACCACAGCTAGTATACAGTCCAACGCCCAAACTATCTTAGCTAGTAATTGACTACTGAAATTACGAACTTTCAGAATGATAGATCCAGACATCAAGCTGTCTCTGCTTGCAACATAATTGTGATTTCTCTGTTTACAGCTGGGGTACTAAGGCAGAGATTTATTTCAGTGCCTAGGCCATTGTCTCATTGTCTCATATCTTGTGTAACAGAGGAATCATAAAATTGGAGTCATGATTCCTCAATTTGCAGGTGTGTTAATGGTAGCACAGAGAGGTCAAGCAATGCCCTCAAGTTCACCCAGCTAATGTTGGCAGGAAGCAAACTTAGAACCCACTGATTCTTGATACTTTTATGCCAGGCTCCCTCCACCACAAAAGCTACCTCCTTAAAGATCCACATGTTCATGAGTCTTAGTAGGGATCCCTGCCCATTCATAACAAAGGGCTAATGAGGTCCCACTTTCCTTTTAAACTGCCCGTTATTTTTAGACTTGCTTTTGTTTCTGCTGTTTTGGATGCAGGCTTCTATTTATACCTCGAAATTTAATTTGAATATCTCATTCTCTGGGGAGTCTTATCAGATCATTTATGCCTCTATTTCGTTCCACAAACTGCCCCCAAGGGCCTACTATGTAGGAGGCAGTGGCCAACGTACTGGGGATTCAATGGTGAATAAAAAGTCATACTCCCTGTTCTTCAGAGCTTATCTTTTGTAGTGGGGGAGAAGGGGAGTGCTCACATGCATCACACTGAAATGCAATTTCCAATTGTGGTAAATGCTATGGACAAAAAATATGGGTATCTTTAAAAGAGTATAACGGGGCATTGGATCTAGTTGATGAGGTCTGGGAAGGTTTCCTATTCCTTAGGTAAAATTAAGAAACCTGGCACTATTTGTACCTCTGCACTTACCCTCACTTCACTGTAATTTATTTGCCTACAGGCTATGAGTAACACAAGTACAGGACCATGTCCTATTCACACTTTGAGCCCATGTCCTATAAAACTTGCATGGTATATGATAGGTGGTTAATAGCTCTCCCTTGAATTGGCTTTTATTATCATCACCATTATTGCTGCTATCCTTGTGGCTACCACCATTGTTGGAGAAAAAATGTGGGACGTGTCTGAATCCAAGCCCCATGTGACGAACTCTATTTTAACTGCACCTTCTTGGCACGTAAAGGAAGCAAACAACAATTTGTTGACGACAAAAGAAATGAGAAAGCTGACTAACTCCAACTGCTTCTCTGAAATGCTAATTTGTTTTCAGAGCCTCTTCTCTGGTTCCTTTATAGCAATTTTACAAGCTTGTAGCAAGGACAGCTTTCTGTTAATGACTACTTGCAAATCCAATATGATGACTGTGTTTTGTCTTAAGCTGGGTTAAAACACTAGCTTACAAGTAGAACAGCAGAGGCAGAGATGTTGGCGGCCAGTCCAGAGCAGAGATCAAAGGCACTATCCTGACAACAGATATTTGCTCTTAGGTACTTTAAAAATTAGAACTATGTTTTTTTAACATCCAGAAAGCCCTTTTCAGAAACACTCTCCAACTACCATACTGGAGAAAGAAACTGACTGAGGCCTGAGAAGATAAATTCTAGGTCATACAGTCATACAGCAAGATAGGGTGAAAATGGGTTTTAGGCCCTATCTTTGTTGGTTTTGTTTTATGCAAAACTCTTTCTACTATGCCGAGTTTCTTTAATAGCATGCCAGAAGTATGAAATTTCAGCCAACGCAGCACTTTCTAGAGAAGGGCTATAGTGATTGCAAATTTAATGTAAATTTTTCCCATGGTATTCCACGCCTTCACCACCTTCCCAGTTCTGTCTTCTCCTGATCCTTCAGGAAGCTTACTCTGCAACAAACGGCTGCTGCTTCATAAACACCTCACTGTGCCCATGCTGTTCCCACTTCCATCTGTATTGATAACAATAGTCACTACTGATCACCTGTTATGTGCCACACACCCAGTAAGATGCTTGGTATATGCTTCTTCCGAAGCTCAGAAGAACACTGCAAGGACAATTAGTATGTATTTTTAATATACATGCATAAAATCACCCTGAAACTCAGTGGCTTAAATTAATAATGATTTGTTTGCTCTCAATTCTATGGATCAGGAATTTAAGCAGAACTCAGATGGGCACCTCCACATCCAGCTTGGGAGCTCTCAGCTGAGGCTGGGATGTGCTTCTCTCAACATAACCTCTCTCTCCTGCTGGGCAGGTGCTGGCCTCCAAGAGGATACATTCCACAAGGTGACGGTGGAAGTTGTGAATCTCCTAAGGCTCAAACTTGGAAGGAAAACAGGATCACTTCTTCCACATTCTATTTTTTAAGCCAGGTGGCAGAGTTGGCCTGGGTTCGAGGACGGGGGTAAAAAGACCCTGCCTCCCAGTGGGGCTGTGATAAAGTCAACTTGTGAAAGAGCAACTGGGATAAGACAGGAAATATTATTACAGGCATCTTTGGGAATAAAATCTACCAGAATATAATAATTACGAAACTGTTCTTTGGAGTCAAACATTTCAGCTCTGCCATCAGCTGTATGTCCATGGATAGGTTATTTCACCTCTGAGCCTCAGTTTCCTCATCCCTAAAATGGGAATACCACCACGAAATTTCCCAAGGGAATAAATAATGTATAAAATGAGCTTAATATCATGCCCACACAGAGTAAGTCTCCATACAGTTTCTATTAATATAATTAATTATCTAAGGATACTTTTAAGAGTGAAAGCCTTATGAAATTTACATAGAGACAACAGGTATACACCAGAATTTATGTTCACCTCCAGCTAACATTATCATTAACCACTGAAAATGGGGAAAATCAAACTAAAATTGAAACTGAAAGAGATTAATTAGCTTACACACATTCACTAACTCACTCACACTTACACACTAATGAAACTTCTCTTATGTGCTAGGAAAGAGAAAACATGCCCCTGCCATCTTGGGACTTGTATTCCAGTGACAGACAGACTGAACTACCAAACAAGTAAATAATTTCTCATAATATGCCTCTTAATTAAATGAATCAGGTTAAAGAAAGAGAGAATACATTAGTGGACATGGTTTCACCTGAAAGAACGAGATAATGCTGATTCAAATGGCTTAAACCAGGGGTCCACAAACCAGCCCATAGGCCTAGTCTGACAACTGCTTTTGTAAATAAAGTTTTATTGGAACACAACCACACCCATTTATTTACATATACTTTATGGCTGCTTTCATGTGACAATTGCATCTTCAAGTACTTCCAACAGATCACATGGCCTGCAAAGCTTAAAATATTTCCTATCTAGCCTTTAACAGAAAACTTTTTCCAATCCCTGTTTTAAACAATAGAGAAATGTATTATCCCCCATAAATGAAGATTTTGAGGAAGACAATATCATGTCCTGAATCACTGCTGTCACGTGGGACTCAGGATCCTCGCATCTTTCCATTCTGTGGCCTTCAGGCTACAGCTTCATGCAAGGCTGGGTCCCTTTAGGTTTGCAAGATGGAATACAGATACTCCAGACTCAGATTGACAGAGAGTCAAGAAGAGAAGAGAGCATCCTCCAGAGGAAAGGCCACTCCTAAGAATGCCTCTCTTGGGAGGAAAACAAAATCATTCCCAGAGGCACCCAAAGATAACCAACAATACCAGACTTCATCAGCCAGAAGTGTGTCATGTGTCCTCCCCTAAACCAGCCACTGGGCAGGGAAGGAGACCAGCACAACTGGCTAATACCCATCAGAACGATCCCTGGGGATGGGTGTAGGCTCCTTCTCCCCTAAATTGTGTTGAGGAGGGATACATGTATAAACAAAGTTGGCACAAAAGAGGAGAGACTACTGGACCCCAACAGTGTCTGATATGAAAGTGATTGTAGTCAGCATAAAGGTAAAATGTTCCTTTATAAAACGTGTTCAGAGAAGGAATCTCACAGGATATGATGCCTGAATGTAGCCCTGAATGATAAGAATGAACAGGCCTTAGGTTCTGTGAAAGAGCTTCCCAGATAGAGGGACTTGCTGGTAAGGAGCAAGAGTGGTATTCAAATTCCTACACTTTGGATCCAAAGCTTGCATGGTCTCCACTACTCCAAGCTGTCTGCTGAAACTGCACCTGTTCCCAAACAACAGTCTCTAATATCATGGTCTTCTGTGCAGTCTTTGACCATGTCCTGCAAACCAGGTGTGTCATCTTACCCATCTTGGTACTTTTCTCCTTCTGCTTGATATATAGAGAGAGTTATACAGGTTATTTTGCCCTAAGCAGGTTATCCACATCCCTAAAATAGGGATAGCATCCGTAGCATCAGGTACCTCCCATCTAATCATCACTAACAGAAGAGGGCAAAATCTAACTGGTAGATATTTTGCTCTTTCATCTTCTATTAGCATAGGAACTCCTTAAGGTCAATGACCATAGCTGGTTCCGATACACATGTACCATGACATCTAACACAGAGTGAACACACAGTACATTCTTGATGAATATACATCAAATTAGACACAGTAGTATAGATCCATGGCTCAGCTTGATTCAATTTGTTGGGGGGTGACGGGGCCCCAGAAAACCTTAATGTTTGTAAAACAGTCCAGGTACCCAAC